>NC_000020.11:8551183-8702698 GCF_000001405.40 Homo sapiens
CTTCAGGTTAGCTATAACCAAAAATATGAGGAAAAAAAACATGATCTCTGCCAGAAGATCACTGGAAGAGATTTAGTGTGAGATCTTCCATGGAAAGATCAGAGCAATACAGACTGGCTCAAAGAGAGCACATAGCCTCAGACTTTTATTCTAATGTATAAGAAATGGTTTTTATGTACTTTGTGTTCATTGATACTTATTTTCTTTCTTGGCTTCAGCCAAAATATGAATGTACCCTCAGCTTTCCTTTTTCATGGCAATCATTGATTCTAAAGGCCTGGCACAGATATGTTCTTCGAAGGGTGTGACCTTTACCGTCCTGTGCGCATCAGCTATCTCCCCATCCCATACCTGCATCCCTTTACCAGAGGGCTTTCTCTGGTAGACTGTCCTTTTGCATGCTGGAGAGTGAGCTCTTCCAGAGGCAGCCCTCAAACCATGATCTATGGGAGCTGACAGATCCTCAGTTGTGTCATCCCTTAGGTGACAAACTGCACCATCCCTGGAGCATCTCATGGTGAAGTCCTGGTTCCCACAGTGGTAGCTTGCTCAACAGTGCAGCCCTTATTGGCTCTTTTCCATCCTCTTTCTTGCTTTCCCACTCTTCTACCCGTATTTTCTCTGATCACCTCCCAAATAAACTATTTCTCTAGAACTCTTGTCTCAGGCTTAAATTTTTTCTGCAAAAGGGAATGCCTTTGGATTTCTGTAAAAGGGTCTGCTTCAAGGAGAAATGCAACCTGAGAGAGAAGGTCATGGTTTTCACAAAAGGCTGTGGTTACAATGAGATTTGAGGCTTAAATCCAGGCTTGTGTAAGACTGTTATGTGTTACTAGTTGTTAAAATATTGAGTGCTTTTATGCTTGTTTGCAAATAGCTACTTCTCCCAACTCTGCAGTGGTCATGACCACTTCATGGTCATCCATTCCTTCCCATGATTCAACAACTAAAGTTTATTACTTGCCACAACAGGGGCTTCTAAGACCCTCATTAAATGCTATGGGCACCAACTGTTTGAATGATTGGTGTGCTTGCTATGTGAATTATTAAATATTTTAAATATTATTTATGTTTAATGTGGTGCCCACCAGACCCAGATGTAACGTACAGCTTTTCCTTGGACAGTATAGAGAAGACCTTGAAGTTATGTTCTTTTAACTCAGTCTTTAGTATTTCTCTGCATGAAATCCTTCAGCTCCATGTCCAGTTGCACCGTGGTAGATTTGCAGGGAAGTGGATGGATGAAAGAGACAGGAGAAGGAAGAGAGGACAGAACAATCAATACTTGATGATGAACTTCTGGGAAACTGCGAGCATTTCCATTTGAAACAAATAGAGTGTTTCTTATACAATAGCCATATGTATTTGTAAACAATAAAATGCCTGCTAGTGTACAATGGATTGCACTTCTCTGATATTATACTTATATTCTTGGCTCTGCTTTTTTTCTGGATTCAAAATATTCATAAGAAATGAAATATGGAACCAAAAGTCACACATACATACACACACAGATACATTTTATAGTAGATACTTGCTGCTTGGCCCAGATATGTTTTGTGGATTAAATTCTAGGCCCCATGCTGGATGCCAGACTCACTACCCATGTTTAGACCCCTAGACATCAGACATTTACTGCCTGGCCCTGTGCTCCCAGCTGCCCATCCAGGTGGTAAGTTTTATATCTCGAAAAGCTTTTTCAGGCTGATTTCATGGTGAATATGTGTTAATCACCTCAGGGAGTTATTGAGAATTTGGGATAAACTTGATTGGGTGAACAAGCAGCATGTGTCCAAATATAGCTATTCCTGAGCTGTATCTTTGATATATTTGATGATGCTTGAAAACAGTCCGATTTACATCCATCGCTGCATTATAAAGAACAGGGCTGAAGATTTATAAGTTGAATTTTGTTGCAAATGCCAAAGCATGGGCCACAGATAAATCAGTTACCAGAATAAGGGTGATTTTATAACCTGCATGTGTTTTATAGTTTCTCATGACACAATAATCATAAAATTCAAAAGGCACACTCTTGCAAGTGTGAAAAGGCAATTTCAGGGTTCCTTTTGGTTTCTGCTATTGCAAGGCAGGATATAGATACAGTTTCTCACTATTTAGATTTGCTATTGAAGTTTTAGTGGAGTGCCAAAGATTTCAGTCAGCAAGTGTCAGTAAATGATATCAACACAGCTCCAAGTTCAAGGTGGAATCGTTTCTTGAAATAAAGTGAGCATTTGGTGCCCAGAAATCTTGTTTTAAAATACACCAACTTCTCAGTTTTGGAAGAGCTCTTTATTTTTTAAAAATAGATTCTTATTATGTAAGCATACAACTTTTCTTGTATGTTCCTGTTGCTCGTATTTGTACACATACACAGTGAAAGTTATTTTTAAATCTTTTATTCTTATCTGTAACTGCTGACAGCATTTGAGGTGTGGAAACTTTTAAGACTGAAAAATCAAGTAAAGGAAAATTCAAGCAAATGAATACAGAAAAACATTATCATTAGGAGCCTTAATAAAACTGCTGTTTAGCTTGTCACGCTGGCACATTCCTGTAATCCTAGCACTTTGGGAGGCTGAGGCGGGTGGATCACTTGAAATCAGGGGTTCAAGACCATCCTAGCCAACGTGGTGAAACCCTGTCTCTACTAAAAATCAAAACAATTAGCTGGGCATGGTGGTACATGCCTGTAGTCCCAGCTACTTGGGAGGCTGAGGCAGAATAATCATTTGAACCTAGCAAGCAGAGGTTGCAGTGAGCCGAGATTGCACTACTGTTCTCCAGCCTGGGCAACAGAGCAAGACTCCATCTCAAAAACAACAGCAAAACTGCTGTTTAACTCCACAAAAGTCATTACACCACTATACATTCACTAAAATTGCTAAAATTAAGGAAAAAAAAAAAACAGTAGTAAGGCCAGGTGTTGGCAAGATTGTAGAATAGCTGAAACTCTCATACAGGGGTGATATAAAATGGTACAACTACTTTGGAAAACTCTCTGGCAGTTTCTAATAAAGTTAAATATGTACTTACCTCTCCTATGGCCTAACAATTCCATTCCTAGGTATTTACCCAAAAGAGATGAAACATATATCCATATAACAACTTGTAAAAGAATGCTTATAGCCCCTTTATTCATAAAAACCCCAAACTGGAAACAACCCAAATTTCCACCAACTGGTAAATGAATAAACACATTGCGGTATAATCACATAATGGAATACTACTCAGCTATAAATAAAAATGAATTGCTAATGCATTCAGTCTAGTGATGAATCTCAAAATTATAGTGTTTTTGAAGAGAGCTGAAGAGACACAAAATGGACCATACTCTACACTTCCATTTATATTAAGTTTAAAGACAAGGAAATATTCTGCAGTGATAGAAACCAGAATAGTAGCTGATTGTAGAGTACAAGAGGACTGATTGGAAAGGAGAACATTCCAGAGAGAGGAAGTGTATTATACCTTAGCCTGGATGATGATTGCATGGTCATATACACTTGCCAAATTGCATTGATCCATATGTTTATGATTTGCATTATTTGTATATAAATTATACCTCAATAAAATGCTGTTAACATAAAAAAATTGCCCAGCTTCTGAGTTCTTGCTTAATAATATTAGTATCACCTGTTGCTGTTCTACGTTAACTCAGGAGCTAAATTCAAATTCAGTGTATGACAAAATCTTATTTGTGTGAAATTACTGGGACGTGTACTTTTGCATTTAAGAAAATGCTCCAAAAAACTGAAGATTCTCCCTTCATGTTAGAAACTTAAAAATAAAATAAAATAAAATAAAGATTTTTTTGGGAGGAAGGGAATCTTAAGTTAAAATGTCACAAATCTCTCCTATCATGTTAGTCACTTTTTTCTTGACTTGGCATTTGCTTGGTTGCCTTAAGCCTTTGTCTATTTTTCAGAGTTCTGACAGAGTTGAGTTTGATAATTTTTGCTGGTTTTATCAGTGTTTTCGTGGAGAAATGGGCCCTTGGGGCTCCCTACTCTGCTGTTTTTGCTGACTTCACCACCAACCCTCATATTCTTAACTCTGTATCCTTAATAGGGTTGAATGGGTTTCAAAAGGCAAGGTAGGCAATGGATCATGATACTAAGTCAATGATAGGAGCTTTGAAGTGAAAGAGGTGTTTCTAACAAAAAGTAGATACACACTCTCCACCTACACTCCTCTTCCTCCATCATATCATACAATTCAGAAGCAAGAAGAAAACACAAACTCATAGACTGAGGCCATCCACCACTACCTGAAATGCTGCACCTCACTCAACATGGGATGGGGCTTCGATTGTTATGATTTAAGCACTTCTGAAAACACACTTTCTACTTCCTGTTTGGTCTTAAGTCTTCCCTGGAAAGGTCATCTATCTCCATGTATTTCCTATAAATATCTACCTCTCTTATTAAGTGTTACATTCAAATGTGACAAATTAAAATCAAGTGGAAATATTTTGTGTTAATGATAAGGTAAAGCCAACTGTGTATGTCAGAGTAGAATATGGCATGTGCTCTTATCATAAATATTACAGGAGCTATTTGTTTGTCAGGGCTTCATCAAAACATCTGAAAATTGCTTGACTTGGAGGAGAATAGACTATAATTTCCATGTCTGCCCCAAATAATCAGTCATTGACAACTTAGAAAATTCTTATCAATAAAGATGGAATCAATTTTTTCTATTCCACAAAATGTAAGCATATCATTTTGAGACAAATTTTAAAATCGTTTTAGACTTGACAAATTACATGAAAGAGACACTTAGTCAGAAATGATTTTTTTTAATGAAGTGAAATTTAATAAGTGACTCTGAATGTCTGTTGATGTGTTGGGAAGCCCATCTTTGCTTGACCAAAGATTTATCCAGTAATAATCAAAACATCTAAGTTAGTCTTAGAATTTATATATATTTCCCATCCTGGCTAACACCCTCCTCAGCATGGCAGCAGTAGGAAAGATGGCGGCCACATTCTCTCTATGGGTACCTGATTCTGGAAGGAGCAGAGCAGACCTTATTACCAAAGAATTGTGTTTGTCTGTTTTGACCTGAAGAGTCCCTAAAAGTACTTGCCTTCGTTTTACCTAACTTGGAACTCTCTTAGGGCAGAAAAGCAGCCATGTAGAGGACATTCCTCCAAAACATAGAAAGGTAAATGAACAAGCCTCTGCCACTTAGGGCAAAAGATGATAGTTGTTATAAACAATAGACAACCCTAAATACTGGAAGGAAAAGCTGGAGAATGAGTTACTTTAGAGAATAATTGCTTTGAAAAAGATTCCTTATAATAGAAAACCTAAAAAGTGATGCATATGCCCAGGATAGGACCTATGCTCAAAAGATTTGAGAAGACACTAAGCTTTCACCTTCAGCTTGAGATCTTAAGGCTTCACAACAGCAGGAAATGAAGGCTAAGGCAGAGTTGTAAACAGCCAGGCTAGGAGAGGGTTGGGTGTGTGTGTGTGTGTGTGTGTGTGTGTGTGTGTGTGTGTGTGTGTTTGCTCTAGGCATTTAGGGAAATCTGCCAAACCACTAGCTAACCACAAGCTAACAAAATAGAGACTTCAGAGTCCATACAACAAAATATATAGCCTTTAAAAATAGTCCGGAAAAATGAGCAAAGTGTTTGAATAGACATTTATCCAAAGAGATATTTAAATGGAAATAAACACATGAAAAGATGCATAACATCAGTAATCCCTCAGGAAATGTGAATCAAAACCACAATGAGATACCACTTGACACCATTTGGATAGCTATTATTGATAATAAATAAATAAAATAAATAAATAAATAAATAAATAAATAAAATAAATAAAAAAAATAATAAAAATGGAAATAAAACAAGTGTTGGTGAAGATGAGGGAAACTGTAACCCATGTATGTTCCTAGTGATGATAGGAAATGGTGCAGCCACTGTAGAAAATGGTATTGTATTTTTTCAAAAATAAACATAGAGTTACCATATAATTCAGCAAGTTCACTTCCGGGTATATATCTCAGACAATTAAAATCAGGGACTGAAACAGGCATTTGTACACTCATATTCATAGCAGCATTATTCACAATAGACAAAAGGTGAAAACAACCCAAATATCCATCAGTGGAGAAATAGATAAACAAAATGTGGTATATACTTACAATGGAATATGATTCAGCCTTCAAAAATAAAGAAATTCTGACACATGTTAGAACATGGATAAATCTTGAAGACATGCTAAGTGAAATATGCCAGAAACAAAAGGACAGATATTTGTATGATTCCACTCGTATGAGATAACTAGAGGAGTCAAATTTATAGAGGCAGAGTGGCAGTTGCCAGGGGATCATCAGAGAGAAGTATAAGTAGTTATTGTTTAGTGAGTACAGAGTTTCAGCTTTGGAAGATATTAAAAAGTTCTGAAGATGGATGGTGGTTGGTGATGATTGCACAACACAACATTTTGAATTTAGTTAATGTCACTCAACTGTACACAAAATGACTAAAACAGTAAAGTTGGGCTATCTATATTTTATCACAATAAAAAATAGTTTAGAAAAGTCACTAAAGAAAGAAACAACTCCAACCCACAGCAAGCAGCAAAAATAAACCCCAAGCAGTGGCAAGAATCTGGTTTCTGGAGTTACCACATAATAATATTCAAAATGTCTTGTTCTCAACAAAAAATTATGAGTCATGAGAAGAAACAAAAGAGTATCCCACTCACAGGAAAAAAATGAACAACTCTCCTTGAAAAAGCACAGATATTGGATCTACTAACTAAGACTTTAAATCAACTCTTACAAAACGGGTGATTACCAGAGCCTGGGAAGGATAATGGGTAGGGAGGTGGAGGGGGAAGTAGTGAGGCTTAATGAGTACAAAAACATAGGAAAAATGAATAAGATCTAGTATATGTTAGCACAAGAGGGTGATTATAGTCAAAAATAATTTAATTACACATTTTAAAATAGCTAAAAGCATATCATTGGATTGTTTGAAGCCAAAGGATAAATTATTGAGATGATAAATATCCCATTTACCTTGATGTGATTATTATGCATTGCATGCCTGTATCAAAATATCTCATATAATACATAAATATATACACCTACTATGTATCCACAAAATAAAGAATTAAATAAATAAATATAAATGAATCAACTGTTATATATACTCAAAAAGATAAATGAAACCATGGACAAAGAACTGAAGGATAAAAAAAGAATAAAGAAAAATGAACAGAACCCAAGAGACCTGTGAGACACCATCAAGCATAACAATGTAAGGGGAGTCTCAGGAAGTGAGGAGAGAGAAAAAAAGGCAGAAAGAATATTTGAAGACATAATGGTTGTAAAACTCTCAAAGTTGATAAAAGGCATAAATCTACACATTCAGGAAGCTTGATGAACTCCAGGTAGGATAAATACAAAGACAGCCACACTAAGAGAAATTGTAATCAAACTGTTGAAAGCTCTAGACAAAGAATCTTGAAATTAGCAAGA
Organism: Homo sapiens; assembly: GCF_000001405.40. NCBI lineage: Eukaryota > Metazoa > Chordata > Mammalia > Primates > Hominidae > Homo > Homo sapiens. The sequence continues at coordinate 8,558,690 of NC_000020.11, forward strand.
GAGTTGCAATTAATCACATACAAATGATCTTCAATGAAATTAATAACTGATTTCTTATCAGAAACAATGGAGGCAAGATAGCAATTGGTATATTTAAAATGCCAAAACAGGAGGAAAAAACAACCTGTCAACCAAGAATTGTATACCTGGCAAAATTAAGAAAAAAGTAAATTTAAGAAAAAAGTAAAATATTTCCAGATAAAAGCTGATAGAGTTTTTCACAAGTAGACCTGTCCTACAAGAAATGGTAAGGAGATGCCTTCAGGATGTAATGTCAGCAAACTCGATAGTAACTTAAAGGTGTACAAAAGAAATAAAACACACTACTAAAAGTAAATACATAGTCCTATAAAAAGGCCTATTTTATTGTATTATTGGCTTGTAACCCCTCTTTTTTCTCATATGATTTAAAAGACAGATATATCAAATGATGAATAAAAATCTATGTTAGTTTAGTTTACATACAATGTATAAAGATATAGTCTGTGACAAAAACAATTTAAAGAAAGAGATATGGAGAATATAAGAGCAAAGTAATTGTATACTCTTGAAGTTAAGTTGGTGTTAAATCAAGCCAGATTATAAGTTTAAGATGTTAGTTGTAATCCCCAGGATAACTACTAAAATATTAACTATAAAATATACAGAAAAAGAAATGAAAAGTATACTTCAAAAATCAAACACAAAAGAAGGCAGTAATGGGGGAATTGAGAAACAGGAAAGATAAGACATATAGAACACAAATAGTAAAAATGTCAAAAGTAAATCCTTTCTCACCCATAATTACTTTTAAATGTAAATGAGCTAAACTCTCCAATTAAAAACAGAGATTGTCAGATTAAAAAACAACAAGAAGATTCAAGTCTATGCTGTTTACAACACATTCACTTTAGCTCCAAAGATACAAACAGGTTGAAAGTGACGGAATGTAAAAAGAGATTTCATTCAAATTCTAAAAGAGAACTAGAATAGCTATACTAATATCAGTCAAAATAGACCTTAGGTCACACATGCTACAAGAGGCAGAGGACATTATGTATTGATAAATGGGGCAATTCATCAAGAATATAAAACAATTGAAAACATATATGCACCTAAGAGCTTAAGGTTTGATATAGAAAAGGGAATGAGCCTAGGTCGGTCTTGTACTAATTCAGTTTAATTTACCTCTCTGAGTTTCATTGTGTATAACTCTGCAAATCCTCTTTTTTTATAACATAGAAATTCCTTCCTACCTTTCTTTCTTCCTTCCTTCTTTTAGGAGGCAAGTTTTGAGTACCTACTTTTGACAAGCCCTGTGCTAAGTTCTGGAGATACACATCTCAGTAATTATAGCCCCTGTAATTGTAGACTTTATAGTCCAAGTCAGTAGCTTTCAAATTTTAGTTTATATGAGAATCCCCTGGGAGGCTGATAGAAAATACAAACTACTGAGCCTCACCCAATGTGTCTGATTCAGTAGGCCTGGAGTGAGGCCCTAAGACCTGCATTTCTAACAAACTTCCAGGAGATGCTCATGCTGCTGGTTTGTGGACCGAACTTTGAGAACTACCCGTCTAAGTCATGGATTCTCCATTTTGGCTGTACATTGACATCACCTGTGAGCTTTAAGAATACCAAGGCCTAGGTCTCATCTTCAGACTTAAATTGCTTGGGAGTTGCCTGGTCATCTGGATTTTTTTTAAGCTTCTCACATGTTTCTAATACAGAACTAAAGCTGAGAACCACTTCTCATTTCTGGCTGCTTATTACAACCACTTGGAAAGGTTTTAAAAAAAAATACTGATGTCTAGAAAGCATTATGGATTAATGCAATCAGAATCTCTGAGAATTGAGCCCCAGCACTAGTATTGTTGAAAAACGTCTAGTGTTGTTCAACTAATTTGAAAGTTTAACCAGAGCTGAACTCCATCTAAGCAAAGGTAACATACAATGAGTGAAGGAGAGAGGTAATTTTAAATGTCATCTTTTTTTGTTTGTCCTTTTAAATTATCAAGAAGCAGACAGGAACATAAATGGAAAACCAAGTCTCCCATAACCTACCACTATAGTATGTCTATTATAATCATACATTTTTCCTATCCAGTCTTTGACCATATGTGTGTATTTTTATATGGATCATATATGTGTAATTTGAGATTCTGCCAAAAAATTTCTTTAAGCCACAGAATAACCTTTTAAAAATAATAAGTAAAATGGGTGGCATTGTCGGATTTTCTCCATGTTCACTGAGGAAAGATAACAAGAATAAACTTGATCTCAGCAGGATAATTTAGGCTTGTAACTGGAAGGACCTTCCTAGTCAGCAGAATTAAACTGCTCAAGGAGAAAAAGTGGTGATAAACTAGGATATGGAACGAGGAATCAAAGTCCTATCTAGAAGCCAGATGATGGGAAAATGGCCACAGAGAGATGATCTGGGACTTGGCAGGGACTGTTCCAGGTAGAATGCTGAAGACCGTTAGTGGAGAGAATTTGTCTCTTCATCTGTATTTCACTTAGAATCTCCTGTGTGTGGTTCAACATTTTGTGGTGGTTTGTGGATACACTTTCTAGTCTAAAGGAATAGAACTAGATTAATATTTTCTATTGTAAAATTTAGTATCTTTAACTTAGAACATAATATAATTATGAACCGTATAACTAAGTTTTGCAACTCATGCAGGGGGATTATAGATAACCCTAGAGCACTCATTCTTTATCTGTTCTAAGATAGTCGGGATATGAGCAGTTGAAGACATTCCTCTTAGTTAATCCAAGTGGGTGCCAAGACCCATGCACTGGAGAGTTGAAACAAAATACAATGAGTCTGAAATTTCAAGCAGAAGTTCAAGCGTCTCTTTCTATTCTGTCTTGATACATTGCATTGAAAGAACTGCTATGGTTTAATTCTATCAGTGAAAATAACAGGGTTTGTGATGTTTTTAATTTATTTTTCCCTCCCCACATTAACTTTCCTCATTTGTGTTTGGTAAATTTGCTTCAACTGCTCAATTTGCATGAGGATTAAATTTCATTAACAGATGCAATTAGAAAGTGGAATTTATAGAATAAGTCTTCTTTATACCCTAACCTAATTGACATAAGGATTACCGATGTAATTGACTAGAAATCCTTTCAAGATAGTCAAGCTGACATTTAATAGTGTTTTTCTCTATAAAATTAAGAATGTTCACTACAATCTACATATAAGAACTAATAAGCCTATTCCCTCCACCCATCACCTAAAATTATAGAGCTAGGTCAATTTTATATTCTTGCAGCAAAAAACTCCCCTGGCATGAGGTTGAACAAAGTCTAGTTAAGCTTGCTATTTTTTTCCTTTTAGTAGACCCTCCCTTGAGTAAAAAAAGATAGAGAAGAGCAAACGGTCTTCGCTAAGTGAACTCATAGCTTAGCCAAAGTCTTTCAGAGCTGAGTACGGAGGGGCTGCCTCAGTGGGAAGCAGAAATTAAGACCTGCTCCTCCATACATCCTACTTGCATCTTTAGCCTCGTTTCTTTACAGCAGTTGTTTGCAACCTTGGCTGTACATTGAAATCACCTGGAGCACCTTAAAAATTGTAATGACAAGACCCCACTGTAGGATTCTAATATACTTGGGCTGAGATGCAGTCCACACTATGTGAGTGTGAAAAGCTGCTCAGCGGTCCTAATGTTTGGTCGTGGTTAAGAGCTGCTGCTTTACAGTAAGCAGTACTTTGCCTGTGGCCAGGTAAGGCAAAAATGTGCCTGGGGACTTTGGGAAAAAGAAGCAGGTTCTCTCAGTAAAAGCTGTGCTCCGGCAGAAAGCCGGTTAAGTGTTCCTTGCTGCCTATTTAAGAAGTAACAGTGCCAAGGCAATCCCATTTGCTCTGGCCATGTGATAATTAACAATTGATATTTGTGTGAAGCCAGCCTGCCTAACAGAATGGTGTGCAGTCTTTCAGCCAAACAGTACACTGGCGCTCCTCTGTGGACTTAAAATTGCATTCTAAAAAAGTAGATGGCATTTTTAATAAGCAAAACCCCAGTTTAAATATAACCAACTGAAATTATAAGTAATTTGGTAATATGACTTCATGTGGGGGTCATCTTAACATTAATAATACCTGAAATGAAATAATTTCTAAAATATTTCTAATCTCAAATTACTACCTTTGGTGATATTTTGGGTGATAGACTATTTTTACAAACTAGAAAAGATTCTAAATCAGGAAAAGTACATAACTGAGGTCTGGCTTTTTGAAGCACACACTCACTTTTTTTATGAAATACCTGTTTGCTGACCATGGTGTAGGCCATTAATGTCATTACCTCTACCACTTGAATAAAAGTGAATCCTTTTGTAGCTTATAGTGTGTAAACCTATGAGACTTATAGTATGTAGATGTATGATACTGACAGCCAAAACAGTATGCATATTATGATAAATCACTGGGTAATAAAGTAGCCAATTTGGAAAATTCTCAATTGGAGTAGTCCTTGTGTGTTGGCAAATAAGACTTGCATTTATACAGTGAACAAAAAAGTTTGCTTAAGAATTAGGAGCAAGTAATTGATTTTTTAAAAATGATGTGGTTCTGGTGGAAGTAGTATAGCCCTACCAAGTAGAAAAAAAGCAATCAATTTAATTAAAAAGTCTCAGCTGAAAAAAAATTTAGTTCCCATCTATAGACAGGGGCTCTGTCCTTAGATACAGCAGGAAGATTCAAGACCCCATCATCTCTCTCCTCCCACTTCTCAACCTCCTCTTGGTGTGTTTCATTGTCCAAACTCAAAAGGAAGCCAGGAGGTGAAGGCTGGCTGATGCGGTTCAGAGAAGTTTGTCTCCTGGACACAGTGCAATATGGAGAAGCTAGAAAGTAGGTCTGAAAACAGAGACAATTTGACTTTTTGCAGATGACATGATTGTATATTTAGAAAACTCTATTGTCTCAGCCCCAAATCTTCTTAAGCTGATAAGCAACTTCAGCATAGTCTCAGGATACAAAATCAATGTGCAAAAATCACAAGCATTCCTATACACCAATAATAGGCAAACAGAGAGCCAAATCATAGTGAACTCCCATTCATAATTGCTAAAAAGAGAATAAAATACCTAGGAATACAACTTACAAGGGATGTGAAGGACCCCTTCAAGGAGAACTACAAACCACTGCTCAAGGAAATAAGAGAGGACATAAACAAATGGAAAAACATCCCATGCTCATGGATAGGAAGAATCAATATTGTGAAAATGGCCATACTGCCCAAAGTAATTTTTAGATTCAATGCTATCCCCATCAAGCTACCATTGACTTTCTTCACAGAATTAGAAAAATTTACTTTAAATTTCATATGGAACCAAAAAAGAGCCCACGTAGCCAAGACAATCCTAAGCAAAAAGAACAAAGCTGGAGACATCACACTACCTGACTTCAAACTATACTACAAGGCTACAGTAACCAAACAGTGTGGTACTGGTACCAAAACAGATATATAGACCAATGGAACAGAACAGAGGCCTCAGAAATAACACCACACATCTACATCTTTGACAAACCTTACAAAAACAAGCAATAGGGAAAGGATTCCCTAGTTAATAAATGGTGTTGGGAAAACTGGCTAGCCATATGCAGAAAACTGAAACTGGATCCCTTCCTTACACCTTATACAAATTTAACTCAAGATGGATTAAAGACTTAAATGTAAGCTCTAAAACCATAAAAACCCTAGAAGAAAACCTAGGCAATACCATTCAGGACATAGGCATGGGCAAAGACTTCATGGCTAAAACACCAAAAGCAATGGCAATAGAAGCCAAAATTGACAAATGGGACCTAATTAAACTAAAGACCTTCTGCACAGCAAAAGAAACTACCATCAGAGTGAACAGACAACCTACAGAATGGGAGAAAATTTTTGCAGTGTATCCACCTGACAAAGGGCTAATATTCAGAATCTACAAAGAGCTTAAGCAAATTTACAAGAAAAAAACAAACAACCCCATCAAAAAGTGGGCGATGGATATGAACAGACACTTCTCAAAAGAAGACATTTATGCAGCCAACATACATATGAAAAAAAAGCTCATCATCACTGGTCATTAGTGAAATGCAAATAAAAACCACAATGAGATACCATCTAACACCAGTTGGAATGGCAATCATTAACAAATCAGGAAACAACAGATGCTGGAGAAGATGTGGACAAATAGGAACAATTTTACACTGTTGGTGGGAGTGTAAATTAGTTCAACCATTGTGGAAGACAGTGTGGTAATTCCTCAAGGATCTAGAACCAGAAATACCATTTGACCCAGCAATCCCATTACTGGGTATATACGCAAAGGATTATAAATCATTCTACTATAAAGACACATGCACATGTATGTTTATTACGGCAGTGTTCACAATAGCAAAGACTTGGAACCAACCCAAATGCCCATCAATGATAGACTGGATAAAGAAAATGTGGCACATATATACCATGAAATACTATGCAGCCATAAAAAAGGATGAGTTCATGTCCTTTGCAGGGACATGGATGAAGCTGGAAGCCGTCATTCTCAGCAAACTAACACAAGAACAGAAAACCAAACACCACATGTTCTCACTCATAAGTGGGAGTTGAACAATGAGAACACACGGACACAGGAAGGGGAACATCACACACTGGGGCCTGTCAGTGGTTGGGGGGTTAGGGCATGGATATCATTAGGAGAAATACCTCATGTAGATGACATGTTGATGGGTGCAGCAAACCACCATGGCACGTGTATACCTATGTAACAAACCTGCACATTCTGCGCATGTACTTAAAGTATAATAAAAACTTAAAGTATAATAAACTTTATTATACTTTAAATATAATAAAGTATTATATAATAAAGAACTTAAAGTATAATAAAAAATAAAAAAAAGAAAGTGGGTCTGAATAGGCAAACAGAAATATATGGTATATCTGTTTAACCAACAGCTTTCCTCTCCTTTCTCTGGAAATGTAACCAGCTAGAAGACTGGAGTAGCCATGTGACTAATTCTGACTAATGTGGTGTAAGTAAAAGTGGCAAGGTAGGACTTTAAGGAAGATTTTTTTTCTCAAGAGGATATAGACCCCAGAACCTGTGTTTTGTCCTCAGTCATTTCCTCCTTCATGATACCTGCAAAACGGAGGTGAAGATTGAGGTTCCAACTGCCATTTTGGACTGGATTTAGGCAAATTTGCATTTGGATGTCATTGCTAAGGATGGGAGAGCAGAAATTTACAAGAAGTGTGTGCACTAGTGACTAAAGCCACCACAGCAGCGCTGGATTCCTCTTCTGAATTTATTCCCTGTGAAGGAAAATTAATCATTATATATTAAAAAAATCAACAGTTCAAAAGTTTCATCTCATTATGTATTTGCTATCAATTATATAATTAAAGTATGATGTAGGAATTTTTAAATCATCGCTTTTAAATTTTAAAAATTAGTTCTAAGACCCCAAACTATGTGCAATTTTACAAAGTATATTTGACTGCCTTACAACAGGCTACTATCTACTTAGGTATTGTGCTTACTTCAGATGAAAATTGTGCCTTATCAACAGGTGGAAACAATCATTAAATATTAAAAATATTTGCTTAATGTAGCAAGTGAATGGGTGGACGAATCATCTCAGTTTCTATCGGGTTTTCAGCATGTGAACCTAGTGTTTACCTTGTCAAAAAGTTGATTGTTTCTAATAAGCAGGATAACAGATATTCTAGCACCTTCAAAGTCGAACAGAGCTGAGAAATGAAGTGTGACTTATCCTGTGGAATGTAAAAAACAACATTTTTTAGGAAGCATGTGAATATGAATGAGAGGATGATCATCATTTAAATATCACCAAATAAACATAACATTTCTGTTGGGCATCTTTTGAGCAGTTAGATTTTCCATGGAATATGTTCCAGCTTTGTTTTGCTTGGTTGGTAATCATAGCACTGAATTTAATAAATAGATATTATTGAATTTCCTTGGAATGTTCCTGGTGTTGTAACATAAATTTAGTGCTTAACTGGCTATGATATATGGCTACATATCTATAGTACTTACAGGTGGTGAAGTCTGTTTTAGGTTTTCTGCACTTCGGTTACTTAGCTTGAGCTATCTTGAGATTATAAATCACTTCTTTTTTTTTTTTTTTTCAAACTACACATTCATGACATACAGCATCAACAGAAGATGATTTATTCTGTGACCCTACTGGCAAAAGAATATATTGATACTATAATTTTGCTAGGTGTCATTTGTTCTTGAGGGTTCCTTGTGTTGGTATGCAATAGCAAATTAATCCAGAATTGCAAGGTAGAAGGAAATATAACAGAACTCGTAATTCTGATCCTGAGTCAGTTAGCTGAATAACTTGATCAGATCACATCTAATTTTTCTCAATGAGAGCACTACTGGCATCTCAGGCCATTGTGTGATATTGGCCTGGGCACTGGCCTCACAAACACTGCAAAGCAGTAGCACTTTCAGCCAGTTAAAATGTCACGGACTTCTGCAGCAGCCTCTTGATTTGTGTGTTCCAGAACTTGAGCTCCAGGGACGATGGGCCAAGTTTGGGAGCAAGTACTAGAGTTTTAACTTAAAGTTAAAAGCGGAGGGGTGCTAAAATGTTGACTCTGATACAGGTCTGTGGCAATTTAATTCCATTTCCCCCTCTGTCTTGAACCCCTTCTACTTGACCACTAACAGTTTTTAGCCTAAATTATCCGGATACCCAAGTCTTCACTTCATTCTCCCCTGTGGACAACCCAATGCCTGGGAACATGATGTTCATAAGTTTAGTATTCTCCAATACATCAAGATCTTGATGGAAAATCTCTCTAAAATAGTAATGGGAAAAATCTTCCCTCCAAAATTCCAATTATTTTGAGTGAACATCATCATGCATATAAAACCAATGTCACTGGCATGCATCAGAAACTTTAATTTAACATAGGTTAGCAATAATCATTAGTAGTCGAAACTTCATTGCTGATCAGTAGTGGGATGGTGCCTGTGAATAGCCACTGCACTCTAGCCTGGGCAACATAGCAAGACTCCAACTCTAAAACACATAAATAAATAAATACTTTAAAAAAATCATTAGTAGGTGGTATGTTCCTTCTCTACTTAAAAGCAACCAATGTTGAAATGTCCATTTGAAGTTGTTAAAAATTTTTAAAGACATGACTTAGAAATTGCGACTTAGCAACTAAAGCTGTGACTTTGAAGTCAATTTATACTTTAAAGGGAATCTATTATCAGTTAAGTTTTCAGATCTCATAACCAAATTGGAAATCTGAAGAAGTCAGAAGTTCTAAAATGCAGTGTTTTGAAAGGACATTGATATATAGTTGTGATATTGTCTTAGCAACACATTTTTCTTTAAAAGAAGAATTTCTTCTTGTATTATCAATCCTTAAAATGGGTCATGTATTCTTGGAAAACAGGGTATTCATGCAATCTTTAAAACACCGTCTAAACTTCAAGTGAACTTCAAACAGCCCAAACCAAATATATGCTGGATAAAGTGTATTGTGGTTACTGGAAAACTTTAAAATATGAAACATTCCTATTGCTGTTGGTATTTTACCTCTGAGAATTTTCTAGCCAAAGTTCTATTTGAACAGAGGTCAAAAATCAGTTACTGCGTGGGCTTTTCTTAAGGGATGAATTTAATGAAAGGGCCTAGTTATTGCAACATATGCTGCCTTCATTTCAAAAGATTTCCTTAAAGCATAATGATTAAAGCCTGTGGAGAAAAAAATTTGTACTTTTCAAAAGCTCCATGAAGTACCCCACAGAAGGAAAAACAAAGTTCTGAATCCACATATAGAATGAATAAATATTCCTTTTAGCTTAAAAGTCATAAAAATCATTAGTTATTTTTGCTCCCTTTTATTGAAAGTGTTTTAAGAGTTTTAAAAGACCAGTGTACACTGTATCAAATATTCCTGCTTATTTCCAAAGAAAAGTGAACTGCTTTATTTTGAATTTTTTTTTTTCTTTACACAGAGTAGGGAAGAATTCAAATGTTCAGCAAGTATTCTTAAGCACCTAAGTCATTGCACTAAAGTAAATCTCATTTGATGGCTCTCTTAAGGTGGATTCTCTAGAACCAAAGACTGAGAGACACTTTTGGGTACAAAGAGTTTATCTGGAAGGTGATGTCAACAAGCACCAGTACAGCGGGGAGAAATAGAGAGAAGGAAAGGCAGCAAGGCAGCCAATATGGTGTGAGTTAACAAGCAGGTTACTATTGTGGACAACTGGAAGCTAATCCCACTGGAGTATTGGGGATGAGAGGTTATAACACAGATCTTACTGTTATCCCACATGAGGGGCAAGGGAGCAGAGGTAGTTATCCACCAACAGGTTTTGATTGATGGATGCATCTGGTTTGTAAGGGAGCTCTCCCTTGAAATGCTCTTTCATTCAACCACTGCTGCTCATCCCATACTTGGGCCTACTGGACACCAGCAAGAGTGCCTTTAGGCAGAAAGCTTCAGTTGTTTGCCTCGAAAGTCATCGTAGGAATGATGGGAACTCAGAAAATATTGCCAGGACACTGACTACATCTGCCACGGTGAAAAGCTGTCTCTAAAATCCAACTACAAAGTAAACAAGTATTTCCCCAAAAGATAAATGTTAATAGTAAAATACATATCAGAAATTATCCAAACTGTCTAGTAATCAGAAATTAAAACAGGATTAATCCAAATTGAGGGGTATTTAATTATCAAATTTTTATAAAACTGTGATAAAGCCTAATATGGCAGGGTACTGTTGGTACTAAGAATATTATTTTTAAAAGCCACTTGGCATTGTGTTTCAATAGGTAAATCAATGTTCACATACACTGACCTAATGATTAAATTTCTAGGATATAAGTATGAAAGAAACGAAATAAAACTTGAAGAGAGTGACAATATCCTATGTGTCCACAAAAATAGGGAAATGATTAAGTAGATTATAGTGTATGCAATCACTGATATTTTTATAATCAATAAGATTAGGGTTGTTAAGGTAAGTATTAGCATGAAAATAAATGCTTATACTGTAACAATAAGTAGAAAAATGATGCACAAAAGTATACATGCATTCCAGTTGCAGCTATCTTATTTTTCAACAGCATTAAAAACTACTGGAAGGAAATACATCCAAAAGGCTAATAGTGATTAAAATTTACTACCAGTGTCAATTACAATGTTTTATTTGCAAGGAACAGAAAATCCAACTCTCACTGGCTTGAGCAATGAAATATATTTCTTCATGTAACTGTGTAACTAGAAAGCCCAAGGGTTGGGCTTCAGGTTTGAACCAGCCAGCAGCTCAACCAGGTCATTAAAGGTCTGGTTGTTTCTCTTCACTCTTCCTTAATGTTTGCTTCATGCCAAAGCAGGCTGTCCTCTTGGTTGTCATTTTGATGCCAACAGAAACTAGAACTAGAAACTAGATGCTTCCATGCTCACACTGAGGGTCAGAATGAGGGCTTTTATCCCTCAACCATTGAACAAAATTTCAGAGGTCATCTTACTATCAGCTACAAGCCTGTCGGTGAACCCAAAACTGTGGCTGGGGGATAAGATTGGTTGTAAGCAGATCAGGGCACCCCTCTGCAACAGTGGTGGAGTCAATTCCCCTCTAAGTCTGTGGCTTCCACCCAGTGAGGAAGGTAGAGAGTGGGTGAAGAGGAGACAATGCCAATATCTACGGTAATATATGAATATATATAGGTATATATGTCGTTTTTGCATGTGGGTGCATATATGTAAAGATACATATATACGAACACACCCATCAACAGAGGAAACACAACTGCACTTACCACGCTGATTAATTTTTTTATTTACTCATTCAGCTGACACCTACTTTGTTCCAGACACTATCTTAGAGACCCCAGAAACAACAATAAATAAGACAGTTAAGGTCCCTGATCTCACGCAGCTGACACCTACTTTGTTCCAGACACTATCTTAGAGACCCCAGAAACAACAATAAATAAGACAGTTAAGGTCCCTGATCTCACGGAGCTGAAATCCCAGTGAAGGAAGACAGGCAATAAGCAAATGAGTTCATGATCAGGAAAAATGGTATGAAGTAACTAAAGCAAGGTGCCAGTTGGAGTAACCAGGTGTATTTTGTTTTCTTTTGAGTGGTTAGAGGAGGACTCTTTGAGGAGGAGACATTTAAGCTGAGATCTGTATGAAAAGAAGAGCCATCCAGGCAAAGATCAGGGGTCTGGAGCACACAGAGAAGAAAGCTCATTAGTACAAAAGGGCTTTAAAGTCAAAGTAATCCTGGGATTTTGGAGAAATCACAAGTCCTGTGAAGCAGAGCCATGGTGTATGAAAAGTGGAATGGAATAAAGAGAGTGTGGAATGGTATGTAGGCACCAGGTCATGTAAAACTGTGGAGACAATGGTTGGAATTTGGGTGTCATGCAAAGAGCAAGGAGACTCATTTGAATGTTTTTAGTAGAAAAAGGGAAATACCTATTTGTGTTTTTTAGAAATCTGTTTGGGAGGCCAGGCATGGTGGCTCACGCCTGTAATCCCTATCCCAGCACTTTGGGAGGCTGGGACAGAGGGATGACTTGAGGTCAGGAGTTCAAGACCAACCTAGCCAACATGGTGACACTCCATCTCTACCAAAAAGACAAAAATTAGATGGGCGTGGTGCCACACACCTGTGATCCCAGCTACTCGGGAAGCTGAGGCAGGAGAATCACTTGAACTCGGGAGACAGAGGCTGCAGTGAGCTGAGATCATGCCACTGCATTCCAGCCGGGGTGACCAAGTGATACTCCGTCTCAAAAAAAAATAATAAATAAAAAATAAAGGATCTGTTTGAGGATGGTTTATAAGATGGCTTGTGGAGAGACAACAGGAAATTCAGGCCTGTACTTGTCTAGGCAAGAGATGGTGACGACTTGAACTAAAGAGTAATAGAGGATTGAGAGGAATGGAAGGCCTGATGTATACTGTGTGGAGATAATGCCCTATGTCCTACTGATGGAGAAAGTCATGGAATAAAGGCTAACTCAATTATTTTATGTGAGCAACTGGTGGGTTGATGGGCTGTGACCAAGATGAGGAAAACGAGGGAAGATTTGGAAAGAAAGGGAAGAACTAAGAACACTTTATGGACATTTAAAGCTCGGGGTGTCTGTTAGTCATTAGGGCTGATTACATATTTGCTGGCACACTCCAAAAGTGAAACTGAGGGGCCCTTTTCCAAAAAGCAATGGGGGAAGTGCCAATAAAGATACTAAAATAGAACACTTTTCTTTCTTCTGCAATCTCTCTCTTGACTGGTAATGGTATTTTTTTAAAAATTACTATTTAATGTCATTCTAAGTAAAAAAAAATTAAAATTGTTTATTACGAGTTTTAACATTCATTCTTACATTGTGCAATGCTATTTTCAGCAAATAAAATGCCATTTTAATCATTTAATTTATATACAGAATCACAAAAATTATACAATTCACATTTCATAGATAGTACATGCCTATGTTTTTTGTTCTTATCAAGATAGAGGAACTACTGTACAAAACTAGTATCATTGTTTTTATTTTACTTCTTGATACATGAACACCCTACCAGCCTTCTGTACCTTCAGCTTACTTATGAGAAAGGAAGGACTGGAAAGAAGGGGAACTCTGGGTTGTTCCATCTTTCTCACTTTTTCTATGTCATTATATTCAGTGTAATGGTTGGCTAATAGAAATAACACATAATGATTAGGATTATTGGTGTTTCATGTTTTAGAATGCTATTTCTGCATTTGAAGCAAGTTCTGATTCTAATGGAAAGCATGACTTTTCATAGATGTGAGAACCTGGAGATGTAACACTTTTATCATGTAGTTGGTTTGAGCCTCATTGAACTCTCATTGTGGATCCATGGACATTCTGTGCACCCGAGCATTGCAAATTCAATATGTGAGCAGGGCAGCAAAGAACAATGGACATGTATCTTGCACATATCTCCTCTGCTTATGTGCATTCTCCATTGTTCGATCAGACTTCAGTTACAAAACACAAGCTCAAAGATAAAATGATGGAGAATTTCAGGACAATGACTGCAGAACATTAAACTAAGCATGGGTCCTTCTGAGTACTGGGCCCTGTGTGACTGCAGAGGCCTCACACTCATGAAGCTGGCCCTGCATTCATGTGGAAATGTGTAAAAAATAGATATTGAAGTCGGGAGAGCTGGTGAAAGGTCATTTTTGGAGATGTAGGCTTGGGAATTATTAGTATTTATATATTTAATATTTAGGGCATAGACAGGGTGAGACCACCTACAGGGAGTGTGCAGATGAAGAAAATTTCTCAGAAAAGAATCCTAGACACTCCAGTAACACAAAATGCCGTGGACCTGAAAAGTATATTGAGAAGGAATGGCCAGAAAAGTAGGAGGATAGCAGGAAAGTCCAAAATTCTAAAACCCATTAGAAGACAATAGTTAAAGTAGAGGGATATGATCACTTATCTTGAAAGCTACTGAGATGTCAAGCAAGATGAGAAAGGAAATGTCATTATTGGATTTGCCAACATAGGGGTCATTGGTGACCTTGGTGAATACAGCCTCTCTAGAAAAAGGAGGACAAACATTCAAGTGAATATTCAGGAGATAATGAATGGTGAGAAAGGAGACAGCAATGTTGACAACTTTTTCAAGAACTTTAACTAGGAAATGGAACAGAGAAATGGTGCTGTGTTTGCCGAAGGATGGGGTATCAAGGGAATGATGTCAATATGTTTGGCAGCAATTATTTTCAATGCTGCATACTATTCCATTCTCTGAACCTATTGTAAACTATATATTCATGAGTGTTTAGTATATACACATACCTCTGTTTTGCAAAGCAGTTTGTCATGCTACTACCATCAACAGGGACAAGAGGTCCCAATTATTCACATTCTAATTCAAAGTGTGAGACTCTGGCCAAATGATCCTTCTGACCTCTCTGTAAAAAGACCAAGTTCTAAATGACTTTGGCTTTCACTTTGATCTCTGTTAATCAAGATTTACTCTGAGCTCCCAAAGGCATAAAGAGCTTTTTCCTTCTGGTTTCTTGCTTCTCTCCAAGCAGGACTTTGGAGTATCAGTGGGTGATTACAGTGATAGTTTCCTTCATGGCTTTCAGGCCATGAACAAATGAAAACAGAACAAAAGGCCAAGAATTCCATGCTTCTGTAAGTCTGTTATTTCAGGGTAATTACACATTTACATTTTTGCAGCTAGCAGCTGATGGACATTGTGCAAAAGGGAAAAAAAGATAAATGTAGATTTTTTTAAGGTTTTCTTTATGACTTTGTTTTTAAAGACTACTTTGTGTTTGAAACATACAAATTAGAGCTCAAAAGTTTCCAGCAATTAGTTTACACAGCAAAAGAGAAGGAATCAAGGCCAAAGAACAATCTTATTTAAAATGCTGTGGTTGGCCTGGCATAGTGGCTTATGCCTGTGATCCCAGCACTTTGGGAGGCTGAGGCAGGCGGATCACCTGAAGTCAGGAGTTCAAGACCAACCAATATGGGTGAAACCCCATCTCTATTAAAAATACAAAAATTAGCCAGGCATGGTGGCGAGCACCTGTAATCCCAGCTACTCTGGAGGCTGTGGCAGGGGAATTGCTTGAAGACAAGAGGCAGAGGTTGCACTGAGCCAAGATCATGCCACTGCACTCCAGCCTGGGTGACAGAGCGAGACTCCTTCTCAAAACAAAACAAAAAAATGCTGTGTTTAAGAAGAGGGTATCTGAGGATCATGGAATTTTAGTCACAGAAAAAAACAGAAATACTAAGTGTTTATTATTCTTAATCAGTTTCATCACATGTAGGTCCTGAGTCAAGGACTTGAATGAAAATCGTTTATTTTGAAGAAGTTCCCAGGGAACAGCATTAGAAGTATGTCGAAGGGAGGAAGGGAAGTGATGTAGTCAATAAAGGATATGTTATCAAGCCATTACTACTGTGGGCAACCAGAGTCAATCCCACTGGAAACTGGGAGGCATGATCAAATACAAGCCTCAGAGTTTCCCCACTGGAGGTGCAAGGGAGCTGGGATATTTATCCACCAACTTTCTTGAGTCATTGGTTGATGGTTGTTTCCAGGAGACATCAACTCTCTTGCACTTCCAGCCTGTTAGGCCTTAAGCAGGCTCTGGCCATGGAAAAATCACTTCAACAGAAAAGATATAAAGGCTGATAGTTAGAAGTCGAGTCCAAATTCAATAAGATGGTAAAGAGAGACACAGCTGGGGAATCAACAGAGGCCTGTAATCGGTATGGAAGGGACAATAGTCGTTAAAACAAAGCTCCCTCTGTACTTGTTTCTGACACTAATCCAAATGAGGACCTCCAATTCCCCCTTAGGAAATCATCCATTTAGTCCAACCCATAGATTGGCTTATAAGGACATGGAGGCTCAGTGATACTTAGTGACTTGCTCAAGGGTGCACAGATGCAGTAGAGAAATTGGACATCTTGATGTATTAATATGTGAGTTTGATGAACATGAGTAAAATGTGTCTTCAAATATTTAGACAGAGAGAAAGAAAATAGCTGTCTGAGACATTCAAGTGAAGCATTTCAAATGGAAACTTCTTAGCTTATACTTAGCCCCAGCCAGACTCAGAAACAGATATAGGCACTAGACTAGACAGCATCAACATTCCAACAGGAGTTTTCCCTTCACCGTGGAAGATTATTATTGTGCCCACAGAAAATGTCTGTGCATAGACAGAGCCCATATGACTCTTGCATTTTCTTTCCTGACTTAGACATAAATTTGGCAAAGGAGCATCATGCGAAGTGGACAGAACGTTCCTTTTGTCCTTTGAACTAGACAAGAATCAGGCAATGACCCTGCCTTAGCACTTTATTTAGAGATGAATTCCCCCGCTCTAGGGTTTTGGTGGACAGGTTTATTTCACTGTAAGTGGGAAAATTCCTGGCTGTTTCTCACCTCACCGAAGAGTGCTAACAGAGGGATTCCCATTGATCTGATTTGTTTGCACTGTAAGGCTGGATTCAACTTCAGCGTGAAATCATCTTGCAATCTGAAATAATCTTGATTGGATTTCCGTTTGGATTAACATCACGTAAGAGTTGATATCCACTCTACCATCAGAGATTGTGGTCTATGCTACTTCTTTTGTCCCTTTGTTTTATATAAGTAACGAGCTTGGAGATGTAAATCAGTCACCATTTTAAACTGATTGATCAAACTCAGTAAGAAATAAAACCTTTTCATGGAACTCACTCAGCCTTCAAACATTTGCAAATTAACTAAGTCATAAGTACTCTAGACCAATTTATAAAAACACAGTTAAAATATCTCAATTAAAATCATACATACTCACATGTTCAAATAAACTGCAATAAGCTTCTATAAAATTGCTTAGAAAATATAATTTCTGTTTTAAATTTGTAAATTATTTCCCAGGTCATCAAATTAATAATTGAAAAAAACCTTCTAATAATTGGTGGGTATTTCTGCCTAATTTTCATTAAAAGTGGTAGTTTAGTCTGTCCTCCTGAAGCACTTAACCTGATTTTATATCTTAATAAAGGAACACTATTTAGGAGTTTGGGGACTGTGCTATGCTGTGAAAGCCATTCCTTGGAGCCCATTTTTGTTATTGATGAAATTCTTCCAGTCTGGGATGAACAAACTGTAAAGCCATAAATAAAAGACCAAGGAGAAGAAAGACACTCTGATCAGACATTCCTAATTCTAAATATAGTTTAAGAATCTGTCTCCTGTTCATTTTAGCAAAAGGTTTGGAGATAACATTTCACACTGACATATTTCCATACAATCATTTAAATTTATTATTTCCAGTTTTTAGTGTAAATATACATATACACATAGTCTCTCTTTATATATAACTAAAAATCTAAGCTCATCCTAGAAATATTTTGGGAATATGTATTTTATAAAGAAACAGAATCAGAATATAATTTGTTACTCATCTCTCTTTCCAAAGGCAACCCAAGTTAATTTCCTGGAATCTCTCCTAGTAGTATTTTTAAGCATTCATTTGTCTTTTATCTAGCTGGAATTAAGTTAAATGTGGGATTGTGTTTCATGCCATTGTTTTATATTGTAAGATATTAAAACATAATATTTTTAAGTTGTAGCCATCAATTTAATGATTAACTACACAATAATTCATACATTACCTACATTTCTATGAGTTTTTCAAGTCTACGTGTGATGGTGAGACCTGCATTTGAGATAAGGGGCAAACCGAGTGCATGGAAGGAGGTACAGAGGTAATATTAGAGAGCTGACCTTAATCCTGTAGAGCCAGGTCATGAAAAGGGAGTAGAGAACCTCAAGAGAAGAGCAGAGGGAGAAAGAATGTGAGTTTGACGACAAGTTGCATTAATAAAAAACCAACAATCAAGTCATGTATTATTTGTAGACATACAAAAGATAAATACTTTTTAAGAGTCTTGAGGCCGGATGCGGTGGCCCAAGCCTGTAATCCCAGCACTTTGGGAGGCTGAGGCGGGCGGATCACGAGGTTGGGAGATCGAGACCATCCTGGCTAACATGGTGAAACCCCGTCTCTATTAAAAATACAAAAAAAAAAAAAAATTAGCTGGGCGTGGTGGCGGGCACCTGTAATCCCAGCTACTCCGGAGGCTGAGGCAGGAGAATGGCGTGAACCCGGGAGGCGGAGCTTGCAGTGAGCCGAGGTCGTGCCACTGCACTCCAGCCTGGGCAACAGAGCGAGACCCTGTCTCAAAAAAAAAAAAAAAAAAAGAATCTTGAAAATAACAATGTTGAATCATAAAAGCATTTCACATTTTCCTTGATGACCTTCTAACTTAAGCAATCTTAACTGGCAAAACTAAAAAATCAAAATATTAATAATTCCCCCACGATATGTGTCCTAGTTTAGTTTATAAGTCTTGGCACTTAAGAGATCTAATGAGAACTTACATTTAAAACATGTTTTAAAATAAATTTTAAAAGCTAGAGATAAATCCATGGACAGTAAACCATGCTAGAGGTAAATCCATGGGCAATAAACCATGCCAGTTCTCTTTTCTGTGCTAATTATTAGATTATCAATGCCTTTATTTTTCTCCCCTTTCTGTCTTCCTCTTTTGATTTTGTTTTCAATGTTAAAATGCCAAGGCACTTATAATGCTTCCCATATTAGGTTTTCTTCTGAAAACCATTTGTCCTTTTCTGTATACCAGATTCTCATTATA
Source organism: Homo sapiens (assembly GCF_000001405.40). Classification (NCBI taxonomy): domain Eukaryota; kingdom Metazoa; phylum Chordata; class Mammalia; order Primates; family Hominidae; genus Homo; species Homo sapiens. The sequence goes on from NC_000020.11 coordinate 8,577,912, forward strand.
ACTGGGTCTGTGCGTGTGAGCTGTGGAGCCTCCACCTTTGTAAACAAGCCTAAAAAAATTGCTTCTGTAACTAATAAGCCTGATGCCTTCAGCCCATAGGGATCTCTTTCATCTCTGTTCTAATAAAACTTACTAGCAATTAACTCATAATCCTAACCTCTGTAAGCCTTTGTAATTTATTTTTGGTATACTCATTCCTTTGTCTTCACTGCTTAATACCTTATTAAGAATAAGGACTATGCAAACTTTTGTGTGTGTCTTTCAGACACCAACCCAGTATTTGGCACATAATATACCTGCCATTAATTAATATTTTTGCTGAGTGAGCCAACTTCCTTTGGATGGGCATGAGATAACCACTTCTGTATAATACATTCTCTCCAGGGCAATTAAAGCAGTTTTTCAGTGTGTGAAGGTTGTAAATGATCAACTCTCAACAGTCCTTGATCTTTTAAAGCACAATGAGTGAAGGAAACAAAGCTGTTGACTCATAAAAATGAATTAATAAAAAGTAACCTCTCCTAAGTAAGAAATGGAATATAAAGGATGAGTGTTGAGTGACCACAAGGGCCATAACTGGAAGTTGTGATGGAGAACACATGTGAGTTATTTGCAAGAAGAGTAAACATATTAAAGATGAAAAGCTCTGTGCAAAGAATAGTCCTAACCAATACTGTTTAAAGGACTATCCAGAGTACAGACGATAGATGGAATTCTTAGGGAAACAGCCTGTGCTTGTTCCCCCAATTATTTCTCTGGGCTTTGTAAACACTGCATATTTAGTGTTTGTCCATTACCATTCGGGGTCATTACAAAAGAACTCAGCCTTGACCTGGATTCCTGAGAAATAAATTACAGCTTTTCTTATTACCTTCCAGTAGAACTTGAAGCAATAATTCAAACTCTACGTTAAGTCATCATATATGATCACAAGTGAGTATGTTAATAACAAAATGGATATTCATATACAGACCCGAGTAAATTTCTGATGGCAGTCACATCTTGATAGGAATAAATACTGATTCATTACAAATTACTTAATAAATGTACATCTGGATTCTCAAGCATTATAACAGATGATAGAATATTAATCTTGTTTGTTTTCAGAGCACTTCTTTTTCTTTAAGTTATACTTGCTGCTATTTACTTCGCCAGAAGACTGATTGCATTATTGGCCCCAATTCTTCATCATTACTACCTCCCTGGATCCATGCCCTTAGACATGTAACTTTATAATTGCCTTCTACTCAGCAATGTGACACATTGCAAATGAGATGTTGGCAAATGTCACATCTACAGAGAAATAAAAAGCAGTTGTGCAATTGGGCTTGCTCTTAGGGTTGTCCTCTGACACTGCCATGAGAAGGATAGGCCCAGGCTATCCGGCCAGAGGAGGAATCACATGGGCTAGAGCTGAGTATCCACAGTTGTCTCAACCAAGGCAACCCTAGATAAGCCAACAGCAAGTCTACCTTCACACATGTGAGCAGGCTCAGTCAAGGCAAGCACGACCATGCAGTCTACCCATACAAGCGTAAGCTAAACAACTACTTATTGTTCCAAGCCTCTACATGTTGGGTTAGTTCGTTACATGGCATTAGTATGAAAATACCTAACTGATACACCTTGATTTCTCAATATTCAAATATAATTGCTTCTTATTAATCCTAAGTATAGAAGCATATGGACAATGACTAGAAAGACTTTGAGTAGGTCCCATTCATAGGATGTGATATCAAATTAAATTAAAAATACAATGTATTTTTCCCACAAAATGCTGAGAAAGTTTGAACCATTCTGTCTTCATTTTTTTTTCCTACACTAAGAACCAGGTGACTATAGAAGAGTCTAGCTGGCCTTATATTGGGTTCTCTAGGATTATGTATGGAGGGAGCATGCCGTGCCACAGGGGCCCACATAGGGAAGCACCAGGATCATCAGGAGACAGAGGGAGCAAGGGGAAAAATGTGAGCAAGGTCTTTTATTGTTGTTTCCACAGGAACAAATAGGCAAGGTAATGTAAGGCAGGCTTAGGATTGGCTTGTTTGAATAATTTCAGCAGGCTCTGGGGTGTAGGAGCTCTCTCTATTGTCTGGTACCTGGCCCTGGGTGATGGAGCAGTAGAATATTGGCCCTGAGTATGACAGCCTAATGAGAAGGTGGTGGGTATGTGGGCTCTGGATTGGTTAGTTTGTATATGACAGGTGTTGTCCTTGTTCACTGTCTCCAGGAATTAGCTAGCCCTCAGTGGGGCAGTGCTTCCAGTGTCAGCGAACTCCAAACTGGGGTGGCCCCACATGTCAAAGCATCAAAAATACAGAAAATAAAAAGGCATGACTAATACAACCTTCCCTTCAAAAATACACTCCTAAGGCAATAATATATTACTGTTCTTAGAGAGAAAAGTTAAGGGAGTTGCACTGTACTTAAAGTCATGTAGTTACGCTGTGATAATGATACAATGACCACAAAAATCTCAAAATATTTTTAAAGGAATCCTCAGTCTTATATAAAGTTTGCAGTGTTAACTTCTTGCTATACTGTCCTCTTTCGAGGGTTTTCTTTCCAATGATCAACATTGATTGATGTAGGACCTTCTTAGCGTTCTGCTAAATATGTGGGAAAAATACATGGCGTGTTTCCTGAATTTGTGGAATTTTTGCAGGGGAAGCAATAAGAGAGAAATAGAAGGCAATGTGAACTTAATATGCTTTAATAATGATTTACTGCACAACTACTGGGTGCTAGGCACTATGATAGGTGCTGGGGGATTTCAGTCAAATGCCATTTATGCTTTCAAGGAACTCATAGTTTAATGAGCACAAATTATATGAAAACAAATGATTGAGCTATGGTGAGCAGTCAACTCTGTTGGAATTAGTCAGAAAGCTTCAGGGAGGAGATCATCAAGGTGGGCCTTCAAGGATGAGTTTGACACAGGGCTGTAGGTGACACTTCGGGCAAAGGGAACTGTATGTGCAAAGGCACAGAGTCAGGAATTAAAGTGTCATAAGAAGCTACAAACATTTCCTTTACAACCAGGAACTGGGGTGTGTGTGGGAAAGTGGTAAGACATTAGGCTAATCCAGAAGCAGGTTGTGATCAAGGAGGAGCTCAAAGTCTGTACTAAGGAGTTAGGGCTTTACCCCACTAACAATAAGGAACAATTCATGAGTCTTAAGCAGAGAAATAATATAAACAACCTGCCTGCTTAAAAGGTTATTCAGGCTTTGCTATGAAGGACTTTAAGTTCTCTGAGGGTAGGAATTCTATCCATCTTTTTCACAATCTGTACCCCAGCACCTAGGGCCTGGCACCTAGGATGTATTCATGTAGCTGAGAACGCTGTGCTACTTAAATGTTCCAATGCTCCCCCGTACTTCCTAGTTCTCTTTGCAGTTAGACTGGAGCCCTGTGATTAGTTCTGTCCAGTGGTTATAACCAGAAGTGACTTGGCGACCATTTGGATATAGGAGGTGAAGGTGAAAAGTGAACCTAGGATGACATTTGAAATCTTGCTTGGGGTGGTTCAGAACAGGTTATAAGGAACAAGTATGGGACAATTTTGGATGTCCTGAGTTCAAGATGACTGTGAGATGAAGTTTTTAATTAGAATAGAGCTAAATGTTACAAGGTTTGACATAGGCAACAGTTACTATGGGAAATCAGGAAGGTAAAGTATTAAACATGTAGCACTTTGTGGGTTCTGCTAGAGTGACTCACTATCCAGGTTTGCCCAGGACTGAGGAGTTTCTTGGGATGCATGAAGGACTGTCAATGCCAATACCAAGAGAGTTCCAGGCAAACCAGGATGGTTGGTCATCCTAAGCCTGCTATACCTTACCACCTGCAAAGAATAGCTATTGAGTATTTCTACTCTGAATTCAGAAGTTTGTATTCCTCCGAACCTCTGTATCTCAACTACCATTCAGTTGTATGGAAAATGAATCCAAATTGGCCAGAGTAGGCAAGAAAGTATAAATTCTGTAAACCAGTGTTGTGCGAGAACCAATTCACACCAGCTCACAAGAGCTGATTTTACTCATTTCTTCACAACTCTACATTTGCTGAGTCATGCGAATAGGTTGCAGTTGGCCATGGTGGGAGAATTGACACTATGGAAATTAGCAAGTTCTACATATTAGAGCTTCTCTCCCCTATCCCCAACCCCAGAACTGGTTGTTAAACATTTACCAGGACACCTCTGCCATAAGCTGAGTTGAAAAGGTTTGGAAGACATTATATTGTGGGGATAGCCCAATGTAGATGCTATTGGTACCTCACCCTGCATCCCTTTACCTAGGGAGTGCACTTATCCCCCAGGTGCTGTGAGTGTTGGCAGCTAACAACTCACAGGCACCCCTTTTTCTAGGAATTGTCCTCAGCCAACAGGAGTTGCCGTGGCTGGAATACCTGGGAGGTAACGCCCTACACCCAATAGTGGCCCGTAGCCCATGATTGACTCATAGAGTGGTGTCAAAGGTCAGGCTTTTTACCCTAAGTTGGGACAGCACCGTGGTACCATTCATACTCCAGAACTCTCCAGGATCAGGCTGAGACCAGTCTCCAGCTGTAACTACGTCCTTGCCTAGCTGCCTCTGCTTCCCTATATTGCTTCCCTTATTCCCTCATCTGTTTCCCCTGAGAGCTTCTCTCAATGAATCCCTGCCTTATGTTCATATTAATAATAGCCAAAAGTAGAAGCAACCCAAATATCCATTGATGGATGAGTGGATAAACAAAATGGAGTATATCCATACAATGTAATATTATTTGGCCTTAAAAAGAAAAATTGGCTGGGCGAGGTGGCTCATGCCTGTAATCCCAGAACTTTGGGAGGCCAAGGCAGGCAGATCACTTGAGGCTAGGAGTTCCAGACCAGCCTGGCCCACATGGTGAGACTCTTTCTCTACTAAAAATACAAAAAATTAGCCGGACATAGTGGCACATGCTTGTAATCCCAGCTACTTGGGAAGCAGAAGCAGGAGGATTGCTTGAATCCAGGAGGTGGAAGTTGCAGTGAGCCGAGATCACACCGCTGCACTCTAGCCTGGGTGACAGAGTGAGACTCCATCTCAAAAAAAAAAAAAAAGAAAAGGAAAATGATTCTAACACATGCTCCAACATTGATGAACCTTACATTGATGAACCTTGAAGATATTATGCTAAGTAAAGAAAGCCTGTCATAAAAACACAAATACTGTTTGATTCCATTCATATGATGCATATAGAGCAGTCAAATTCATAGAAACAGAAGGTAGGATGGTGGTTGCCAGGGGCTAGGGAGAGGAAGGAATGAGGAGTTTTTGTTTAATGGGTACAGAGTGTCTATTATGCAGAGTGAAAAGAGTTCTGGGGATGGATACTGTCAATGATTGTACAACAACATGGATGTCTTTAACACTGCTGAACTTAAAAATGGTAAAAGTGATAAATTCTTATGTTATTTCTATTTTATCGCAATTAAAAATACAAAATAAAAGACATTAAATAGTTTTTTTAAAAAACATAAAATACAAAATAAATAAATTATTTAAAAACCCTCATCTTAGGCTCTGCTTCAAGGGAATCTAACCTAACACAGTCAGCCCAGGAGAATTTCTATGGAATGAACATATAATCTCCAGTACATATGCCATGTGCTAACAAACACATGAGAGAACTTTATGATCTGTGTGCTTTCGTTGAGCAGAGAACGTCCCTTTGATTCCTGAGCTTACTGGAATATCATTACGTAATTCTCCCCCATTTCCTGCTGCATACCTACAAGTAATCTCAAAAATGCTTTCAAGGAGAGTTTTCAATTTTGCATTTTGAACTTTGGATCTGCCTTCATTTAACTAAGTGAGAGAAGGAGAAACAAAATTCCAGTGTATTAGCATGACATTTAAGGTGGAGAAATGTAGGCAGCAGGCAATCATGTGGAGCAGCGGTTTACAGCTGAATTCTACCATTTGTAGCTACTTAACATGCTGAACCATTCCTCTCTGTCTGGAAAAATCATAAAAAGGGGCCCGTCAGCACTCTGAGTCACTGCTAAGAAGCTTATGCAGCCTCACACCTGCATTTAAATGAGTGTTTCCGGGGCAAAAATGAAGGACCTCAGAGAAATGAAACGGAGCACTCTAGCAGAGAAAAACGATATTGGTTTCTGTCTGCATTTGTAAATTAACTACAAGAAGAACACTTCTAGAATTAGTTTAATTATTAATAGAAATCGCTTTGAACAATTTTTTTGCTTCACATTTTATTTTAAATGAGGACGGTCATAGAAGGTTTATCATTAGGTGGCAAAATTTGATCATATTCAAAATGTAAAGAAACAGCCACTGATACCAAGGTATGGTGCCTCACACAAAGTAGGAATTCTGTACCTATGGGGTGAACTCATCAATTACGTCAAACTCAAACATAGGTTTCAAAACCAGGACTTGTGCATACTTCATCTTTAGTTTCTTCTTTCTCAAATTTTACTGCTTAGTAAGGTATAGCTTACATAGAGTACAGTGAGTAAATTTTAAGTGTTATGTTTTGACTAATTTACACAAACACACACACATACACACACACAGACACACACACACACACACACACACGTGGAGCCCCCATCCATATTGAAATAGAGAATTTCTAGTGCCCCAGCAACCCTCCTTAATTACCTCCCCACCAAGAGACCACTACTATAGATCTTCCTAAATTTTCACGCTTCCATGGAAGAATTGTTTTTCCAAGTTGGAGCAGGAGTAATCTAGTCATAGTATCCCTTGATTCTTATTTCAAGATTCTCTTTTTTTTTTGAGACAGAGTCTCGCTCCGTCACCCAGGCTGGAGTGCAATGGCACGATCTCGGCTCACTGCAATCTCTGCCTCCCAGGTTTAAGCGATTCTCCTGCCTCAGCCTCCTTAGTAGCTGGGACTATAGGCGCCCGCCACCACACCTGACTAATTTTTGTATTTTTAATAGAGATGATGTTTCACCATGTTGGTCAGGCTGGTCTTGATCTCCTGACCTTGTGATCCCCCTGCCTCAGCCTCCAAAAGTGCTGGGATCACAGGGGTGAGCCACCACGCCTGGCCCTCAAGATTCTCTTTAGCCCAACATGATCCCAAGAAATCATTAGTCTTTTACTGCTTACCCTCAGAAGGGATCACCCTTGCACTGCCCTCATTGGGTGCTCTTGCCCATGCCATGGCCAGGGTCTCATTGTGATCCTTGGAGCTTCGGCTTACTTTTGGGGGGCAAAATGCTTCCAAGACTCTCAGTATTATAGCTCTAGGTCCATTTCTAGATGCATGTCCTAGGTGCTGAACTAGGTCTTTTCAGACATTCCTTACCTGCCAGAGGTAAGACTTTCTCTGTGCATGTCCTGGAGCCAGAGCCACCATGCTGTCCCATAAGCTGCGGTCTGATGGCAGAGGCAGACTCCATTGCCAAGACTCCAGTTCACTGACCCTTAATTGTGCACAGCTCAGAAGAGGTCACAGTTTGGCTCAGACTTCTTGAATAGCTTCTAGAAGAATTGTTTGAAATGAGAAGATGTTGGAAAGAACTAGAAACTCTTCTTTCATGATCTACTCCACACACATTTCACTCCAATAATACTAAACAGCTTCCAGTTCCTGGTCTACCATATCGGTTCATGTCTCCCTGTCTTTGATCACGTTATTAACTCTTTTTAGAATATATCACGTTTTTACCCCTCTTGACGTGATGCTTTTTCTTTTTCCAAGTCTGAGCTGAGATGTCATATTCTAGAACCACAAGTTCAGCTAAGTCCCTCTTCTCTAGGGCCTCATGCTAATGAGCTTCTTTAGCATTGCTTCCACTGTCTCCTAAATGTGAGGTGGTCTCTGCTCCTTGCCAGCTCCAAGTGACCAAATAGTATCTTTTTATAAACTCAAATGTAGACACTATCTCCATGAAATCTTTTCACCTCTTCTCCAATGAAGCGCTTTGCTTCTTCTCTATGTATATTTGACACTTCATTAATACCCCTCAGTGGTTTTTCATATTTTTATTTTTCCCGTTAGATTGTAAAACCTCCTTCAGAAGAGTTTTGTTTGACATTGAATTCCAATCTACTCCAGTGCCCAGCTCATTACCCCAGATTCAATAAATGCTCGCTGAATGAATGCATGCAGAGCTGAGTGGATAAGCAAGCCTCCTTGATTAATCACATCAATTAAACTGGGTCAAAGATGTTTTGTTATATTGGTTCCATTATCTGACTTTCGGAAAAGCAATGTGACCTACAGAGTTGACATGCCCTTGATATGGCAAAAGATGAGTTTCATCCTCAAATATCCCATTAGCATTTTATTTTCCCTGCTTAGAGTATATGGTTGACTTATTCCTGTCACAGACCTAAGTAACTACTAATATTGAGATTTTCTCTCTAATTCTTCTGACACTTCTTCTTTTTCTTTTTTATTTATTTATTATGGTTTTTTTTTTTGCCTAAAAAGCGTCATCTTTCTGGATCACGTCACCGACTCTAGCCTTTGGCTTTCTATCCAGGGACATTTTTCACAAAGAAACAAAACTGTTTAGTGATGGTAGCAGAGTTATCAACATGGTAAGTAGGGAAAAACGTATTTGCATTTAAAAGCAAATCCTGGACCTGTGGCAGAGCCAGGCTTGATAATTACGTCCCTTACATTGGCCGGCCTGATAAAGCTTGGATATTCACAGTGACAAGTAGCAACCCGCTATAGACCTTAGTGGTCACTCACAAATAGGAAAAAAATCTTGGAATGTTAAATTCGCAGATTAGAGAATCCCCTTTTCACATTTTCTGCAAAATCCATTTTGATGCAAATTAGATTACAGAAAATTTAAGATTCTCATAAATGTACATCATATTTCTGTTAGTGACGTTTTACCCTTGCCCCTCCACACCTTTGTGTTTAGGCTCACACATTTCAATTTCAAAACCCAGAACCATGGTATTAATTCTAAAATCTGAGCTACTAAAGCTGGGGCCCTCAAGTAAGTACACCATGGAATCTGCGAGATAGAAATTCCTAGCCTCGCATTTTAGTTTAAAAAGTTTTAGTTTGAAAGTATGGGGGATGAGCTGGTGGCATAAGCTGTATAACAATGATATTTTTATTAAATTTGAAGGCCTAAAAATATCCTGTAGTAGGGGAAAGTACTTTTACCCACCATAAATGTTATTAGGTTTGTGTAATTGTGCCAAAATTGTAAGGGCAAAAATGATCTGCTTTGCTATTGTCTAAAACTAACGCCAGCACTATCAATTAAAAAATATATATATATATATGATCTCAAAAAGGGAGATGGTGTAGAATCTACTTAGCTTTGAGCAGTACCAACAGAGAATTCTCCTAGGACTCATACTAAATGAGTTGGGTTATTATTAATTAGTAGGAGTTAAAACAATTATCAGATCATGTACAGCACTGTTCTTAATGCAGCCTGCCTAGGGACCCTGTTAGGAGGGTGTGTGGCCATTTGACTCTTGCTTTCTTTATGTAATATCATAATGACCCAAGCTAGGGGGATTCCAACAATGATATACAGCAGCTTATACAAAAGGGGACTTCATGTCATTCCAAAGAGTGAAAGAAAAACAGGAAAGCAGATGCGAGAGCAAAACCATTCCTTACTGAAGACATCATGAGTCCTTTGTTTTTCTTTTTCTATTTTCTATTGTCAAGAATATTTATATTCATCCAGGCAAGATTGCATGGGGAGGAATATCACAGTTGTACATTTGTTGCCATTGGGTTCTGGTTTACAACTGTCTTGCCTGAGATTATAAATTTTCAGGTTAATGCAGTACTAATGCAGAATTTGTTCATCCTGGAATTTGTGTATATAGCATATTAAGTAAATCCAAAGAGACAAGTAGCATATGAGGTAAGGAGTCCTGGGTTTGAGCTTTTTCTAGTAAAGTAGCCAGAGATTGTAGTTAGTAAACATTTCTGAATGTTCTACAGTACATAACTGTAAAATAGAATGATAAATGAGGTGACTTACCAGGCCACTTCCAATTTTGAAATTGTAAGATTTCATTCAGTCTCTCCCAACCCCCACCAAAATAAAAAACTTGTGAAACCAAGTCTGTACCAGACTGACGTGTATCGAAACTGTCACTCTGGTGTTGAGATAAATAGCCATAACTCTTAGTTACTGTAAAAAATAGTTGAGAGTTATGGAGGATATGATTTAATACATGCTTATTGAATATATACTTCGTGTAAGGCTCTGCACTGGGAATTATAGAGAAGTTCAAGTATATTTAAAACACAGCTTCTTACACAGTACCTGGTCTGAAGAGGCCTCCAGGGGAGGTGGGAAGATGAAAGAAATAATTTTCAAAATTATTTTGGAGAAGGGTAGAGTAGCTCACCATAGTAGTGGTCTGTCTCTTCAACAAATGACACTTTTAAATTGCTTTGATTTTTGTTTCTAACTTCTTAAAAAATGTGTATGCAACCAGGATTCATATTTTATTACTTATATAGCCAATGTTAGGAACTAAATTGTGCTCACCCCATATTCATATGTTGAAGCCCTAACCCCTAATGTGACTTTATTTGGAGATAGGGACTTTAAAGAGGTCATTAATGTTAAATGAGGTCATAAGGGCAGGACCCTAATCCAATGAGACTGGTGTCCTTATAAGAGGAAGGACACCAGTCCCTCATCTAAGAGGAAGAAACATCTGAGAAGCATGTGCACAGAAATGAGGCTGTGTGAGGACACAGCAAGAAAGCAGCTATCTGCAGAACAAGGAGAGAGGCTGCAGGAGAGACCAAACCTGTCCACACCTTGATTTTTGACTTCCAGCCTCCAAAACTGAAAGAAAATACAATTCTCCTGTTTCAGCTACCAAGTATGGTGTTATGGTGTGGCAGCCCAAGCAAACTCATGTAGCTGATTTCATGAACTTTCATGTTTTCTGCACTGTGGCTTTTCTGATGTTTGTAATTTTCCCCATTCCCTCTCCAGTCACAAAACTAGAACACAATCTTGGGAAAGGACACTTGTTCCCACCTCCCATCCCCAGCACAAAAATCTACAAACACATATCGGACAAGACAACCCACATTGGGCCAGTGTCTTGTGAGGGGTGTCCGACATCATGGTAAGTCAGCAAGGGGGAGAGACTGCACTTCTAAAGTGTCCAGTACAGGCTCCAAGAGCAGGTGGCATTTGAGCTAGGCCAGGTTAATTCCCATCACTGTTTTGTCTTTGGGCTTAGTTGTGCACTTCTCTCATTTTATCAGGGTAGACAGAACGAAGACATGAACAATGTTTTGAAACTCACTCCTTCATTCAACCAATAATTGAACACTGGGCACAGTTCTAGGTGACTGAGTTACATCGGTGACCAAAACAGACTCATATTCTACCTTTGGAATTTACACTCTAGTAGCATGTGGAGAATTAGACAGTCCTTGCCTTTGAAAAATTCAGCATCTTGTGGGGAGATGGTCCCTGTCTTAATCTGTTTGGGCTGGTATAACAAATTACTGTAGATTGGGTGGCTTACAAACAACACAAATTTATTTCTTACAGTACTAGAGGCTGGGAAGTCTAAGATCAAGGTGCCAGCAGATTTGGGGTCTGATGAGAGCCCACTTCCTGGTTCGTAGACAGAAGACCATCTTCTTATTGTGTCCTCACATGGTGGAAGGGGTGAAGGCTCTCTCTGGGGTCAATCTCTCTCTTTTTTTTTTTTTTTTTTTTTTTTGAGACAGAGTCTTGCTCTGTCACCCAGACTGGAGTGCAATGATGCAATCACAGCTCATGCAGCCTCAACCTTCTGGGCTCAAGCAATCCTCCCACCTCAGCCTTCCAAGTGACTGGGGCTACAGATGTGTGCCACCATGCCAGGCTAATATTTTAATTTTTTTGTAAGGATGAGAAGTCTCATTATGTTGCTTAGGTTGGTCTCAAACTCTTGGCCTCAAGTGATCCTCCCACCTCAGCCTCCCAAAGGGCAGGGATTACAGGCATGAGCCACCACAGCTGGCCCTTGTGGTCTCTTTTACAAGGGTACTAATCCCATTCATCAAGGCTCTACCCTTATGACCTAATCAGCTCCCCAAGGCCCCTCCTCCTAATATCATCACTTTGGTGGTTAGAATTTCAAAATATGAATTTCGGGTGGGGACATAAACATTCAGTTCATTGTAGTCCCACTTAAACTGATGGTTTCAATAATATAATAAATGTAGAGAAAAGGAAGCCTGAACACGGAACTTTGAAAGGGCCTGGTAGGAGCCTGGGAATGACTCAACTGAGACATCCTTGAAGAATTCCTGTTTGTTTTTTGTCCAGAGAGTGCCAAGGAAATTCCCAGCACAATGTACCTATGACAAATTCGGAAGTCGTATGTTGGGAATTAATCCTGCTTTATTTTCATCTCATTATATGAATGTAAAATATATAAGAAATATCAGTTGGGTTAATTTTAGCTCCTTTTATGGAAATTTAATTATTTATACAATAAATTTAGTTCCTTAAAATATAAAATCGATGTCACCTTTTTCTTTGCTCTTTGGTAGTTTTTTTTTGTTGTTGTTGTTGCTATTTCTATTGCTGCTGTGACAAATTACCACAAACTCAGTGACTTAAAACAACACACATTTATTATTTTACAGTTTTATAGGTCAGAAGTCTGACGTAGAGGTTACTTGGCTAAGATCAAGGTGCCAGCAGGTGCATTTCTTCCTGGAGGCCCTGGGGGAAAATCTGTTTCCTCACCTTTTCCAGCTTCATAGACCCCTTCCTCCAACTTCAAAGGCAGCAAGATTAGGCTGAGTCCTTCTCATGCTGACATGTCTCTGGTTCTTTCTTCAAATTCCCTCTTCCACTCTAAAGGGCCCTCTTGATTCCATTAGGCCTACCTGGATAATCCAGAATAATCCTACTTTAATTTTTTTTTTAAGTTCTGGGGTCCATGTGCAGGACGTGCAGGTTTGTTACATAGGTAAACATGTGCCATGGTCATTTGCTGCACCTATCAACCCATCACCTAGGTATTAAGCCCAGCATGCATTAGCTATGTTTCCTAATGTTCTCCCTCCCCCTCCCCGACCTTCCAACAGGCCCCAGTGTGTTGTTCCCCTCCCTGTGTCCATGTGTTCTCATTGTTCAGCTCCCACTTATAAGCGAGAACATGAGGCGTTTGGTTTTCTGTTCCTGCGTTAGTTTGCTGAGGATAATGGCTTCCAGCTCCATCCATGTCCCTGCAAAGGACATGATCTTGTTCCTTTTTATGGCTGCATAGTATTCCATGGTGTATAAGATCAGCTGCTAGCATGCTTAATTTCATCTTCAACCTTAATACTCACTTGCCATGTAACCTAACACATCCACAGGTTTCCAGGATTAAGACATAGACAACTTTGGGGAGCCATTATTCTGCCTACCACATGGGTTTACTTAATCACCAGGGAGACAAAGTAGATAATAAGCACAAAGTAGATAATAAGCAAAAGAAGCCAAAAAAACTTCTGTGTGTCCTGCAACACTAAAGAACATAAAGAATCAAAGAGCTTTATTTTTCATCTAACTCAGTTTGGTAAGATTCCAATTTAGAAGCTAAGGTAAAGGAAAACTGACTTCCTATGGTACAATTTAAATTCAGTATAAATTCAGTGCTTGCCCAAGTAGAATGTCCAGCTGTGGGTACGGAGCAAAGGTGTCAGTAAACTGTATTCACACCCAGGGCACTTAAGAGACGTTATTTTTTGAGACTTGCAATTGATATGCTTTGCACTGTAGGGGCCACGTGGGAATTTCCACCTGAGAAGCATTTGTTGTTAAGCACTTTTTTCCCCTGTCTTTGCTTCAGATTGTATACCTTCCAGGGACAGATATCAGTATTATACATAGCTCTTTGTATATTTTGGGGGGTGACTGAGAAACATATTTCATTACATGTAACTTGCTGGCCATCCCAAATATTACAGTAACAATAACCGGTACAGCTTGGGTATCCCATATCTGAAATGCTCAGGACCAGAAGTGTTTTGAATTTCAAATGTTTTCAGGTTTTGGAATACTTGCATATACATCGTGAGATATCTCGGAGGATGGAACCCAAGCCCAAACAAGAAATTCACTTATGTTCCATATACACCTTATACATGTAGCCTGAAGGTAATTTTATACACTATTTTAAATAGTTTTGTGCATGAAATAAAGGTTTTGTACATTAAACAATCAGAAAGCAAATGTGTCACTACACTATCTCAAGCCCATGTGGCCAATCTTTGACCACTATCATCCCTGTCTCTGAATTTATATGTTACTGATGAGCAATCATCTTCTTACACTTATTCACACCTAAGTACCTAGTAAAAAAATTGACAAACCATTAATACAGTAAAAAAAATAATGTGTTCAGGATAACTAAGCAGCAAAGTAGCATCACCAGATTACTTGTATTTTATCACTATTACCCATAGAGGTATCTGTAGGCCTTTTTGACATTTTCAACAATATCTTTACAGAGCAGAGAATAAGCAAAAAGTAATGCATGCAGGTCTTGGCTTCATGTGGGACATCATGGGGAACCTATTGTTGGCATTTCTGGCCAGCATACGTGCCATTTTATTAATTGTTCTGGGCAATGCTTACAGGAGGGAGTCTGGATAAGGGCAGAAAATATATATTGCAACTGAAGGGGCCTGAGAGGGTCTTTTTTTCCCCTTGGAGAAGCCGAATAAACTGTGTGTTGTGCACCTGCATTTTGACGGTGACTCGTCACATGTGATCAGGAGTGGAATTTTCCACTGTGGCATCACATCATCACTCAAAAAGTTTCAGATTTTGAAGCATTCAGATTTTGGAGTTTTGGATTCAGGATGCTCAATTTGTATTTCTGTTTTTAATCTAGCAGTTACACTGAGGGCCAAGACTCTATGTTAAATGCCCACCATATATTATCTGATTTAAACATCACAGTGATGCTGCAGGGAAGGCCCTGCAGTGGCCATTCTCAATGCTGGCTGCACATTAGGGCCCCCTGAGCAGCTCATGAGATTCCGGAAACCCAGGCTGCACCCAGTCCAGTTAATCAGAATCTCTGAGGGTGGGATCCAGGCCCCTCATTTTTTAAAGCTTCCAGGATTTTCTATCACACAGCCAGGGTTGAGCCTAGATTCATCTGATTCCAAGCCCAGATATTTTTGCCTGCTGAGTAAGTAGTATAGCCCAGGCCTTTCCCCATCTTTTGCCCCAACTCTCTCACTCACAGGCCCTGCCCCCCATATCTTACACGCATACTTAGTTTTTAAGAGACAGAGTCTTGCTCCGTCACCCAGGCTGGACTGCAGTGGCAAGATCATGGCTCACTGCAGCCTCAACCTCCCAGGTTCAAGCGATCCTTCTGCTTCAGTCTCCCAAGTAGCCAGGACTACCTGCACAAGCCACCATGCCCATCTAATTTGTGTGTGCGCGTGTGTGTGTGTGTGTGTATGTGTGAAGACAGGGTCTTGCTCTGTTTCCCAGGCTGGCCTTCAACTCCTGGCTTCAAGCAATTCTCCTGACTTAGTCTCTCAAAGTGCTGGGATTACAAGTGTGAGCCACCACACCCAGCCCCATGTAGGCTTTTATTCCCAGTTACATTTTTGCCCACAAAATGAAAATTATAAATTTTTGAAGTCCTTAGTATAATACCAATGATAATCTGACATTGTTTCTACTGAAAATAAACATTACTGTTATTGGCATTTTACTTTTGTTTTTATTAGATTTTTTATTTTTATTTTTTTAATGGGGTGAGGGAGGTGTCTTTATAAGTAACAGTGATAGTAATTTTGCAATACTAATTTTGATAACTAAGAATGTATCATTTTATATACCAGGAATTTTATGGACTTTGCCTTGCATGTTTTGTGACATTTTTTCGGGGAAGATTCTATTATCAGGAGGAAACTGAGGCTTACTTTCTGCAAAGACACAGCCCTGACATTTAAGCCCAAATCTGTGTTATTTTATTTTATTTTAGAGGCAGAATCTTGCTCTGTTACCCAGGCTAGAATGCAGTGGTACAAACATAGCTCACTGCAGCCTCAACCTCCTGGGCTCAAGTGATCCTCCACCCTCAGCCTCCTAAGTAGCTGAGAGTAGAGCTGTGCACCACCATTCCCAGTTAATTTAATTTTTTGTTATAGACAGGGTCTTGCTATATTGCCCACGCTGGTCTTGAACACCCTGCCTCAAGCAATACTTCTGGCCTCAAGCAATCCTCCACCTCAACCTCCCGAAGTGCTAGGACTACAGGCATGAACCCTCATGCCTAGCCCAGATCCATGTTATTTTAGGACATCAGTTTATAGCTTCTGTTTGATGTATTCTAAACTCGACCGAAAATAAAACTCTCTTGAGAAACTTGTTGCCCTCCTGAAAATTCTGTCTGGAATGGGACTTAGCAATAGGATTTTTAAGTTTGGTCCATGGTGTTCCTGGGCTACTCCACCACGCTACAATACATTGCCTTCAATCAGGGCTTCTCAAACACTCATGTGCTTGCAAGTCATTGGGGATCTGGTTAAAATGCAGAACCTGATGAAGTAGGTTAGGGGCGGTCCTGAGATTCTGCATCCCTACCTAGTTCCCAGGAGATGTGATGCTTCTGGTCCACAAACCACATTTTGAGTAGCCACTTAGTGCCTGGTAACTTAAGTTTTCTGAGAGCAAAGTTCTGAGAGCACTGTTGATTCTCCACTCATTGTAGTGTCTTTTTGCACATTGACTTGCAAAAGCTCCTTAGTATATCTTTGAGGAAACCAAAAAAAAAAAAGCACTTTTAAGACAATGACATCAATATGAACTCAGTGCTTTAAGTGCATTTTATAAATAGCACAGCAGATAAATCACCTCTTTTAGAAAGAAAATATTTAACCAAGTGTACCTTGTCTCCATTAGACACTAAGCACATCTCTAATTCATTCTTAGATAACAGAGTTCCTTACCCAAATTAGGTGTTTAAAAAGGCATTTCTTAAAGGAATAAATCATTTTACAAACTTTTGAATTGTTTTTAAATTTTGCATCCCATATTCTAACACCGAGGTGCCTTTTTAAAGATGCATCTGTGAATTTTCATTCAAAAGTATATATAGACTACATAACATATGCATCTTAGGTGTAATACAAAGACATAGAATATTTAAAGGCAATTAATATGTCTATACAAAATATTTATTTATTTTTTTATTATACTTTAAGTTTTAGGGTACATGTGCACATTGTGCAGGTTAGTTACATATGTATACATGTGCCATGCTGGTACGCTGCACCCACTAACTTGTCATCTAGCATTAGGTATATCTCCCAGTGCTATCCCTCCCCCCTCCCCCCACCCCACAACAGTCCCCAGAGTGTGATATTCCGCTTCCTGTGTCCATGTGATCTCATTGTTCAATTCCCACCTATGAGCGAGAATATGCGGTGTTTGGTTTTTTGTTCTTGCGATAGTTTACTGAGAATGATGATTTCCAATTTCATCCATGTCCCTACAAAGGACATGAACTCATCATTTTTTATGGCTGCATAGTATTCCATGGTGTATATGTGCCACATTTTCTTAATCCAGTCTATCATTGTTGGACATTTGGGTTGGTTCCAAGTCTTTGCTATTGTGAATAATGCCACAATAAACATACGTGTGCATGTGTCTTTATAGCAGCATGATTTATAGTCCTTTGGGTATATACCCAGTAATGGGATGGCTGGGTCAAATGGTATTTCTAGTTCTAGATCCCTGAGGAGTCGCCACACTGACTTCCACAACGGTTGAACTAGTTTACAGTCCCACCAACAGTGTAAAAGTGTTCCTATTTCTCCACATCCTCTCCAGCACCTGTTGTTCCCTGACTTTTTAATGATTGCCATTCTAACTGGTGTGAGATGGTATCTCATTGTGGTTTTGATTTGCATTTCTCTGATGGCCAGTGATGATGAGCATTTTTTCATGTGTTTTTTGGCTGCATAAATGTCTTCTTTTGAGAAGTGTCTGTTCATGTCCTTCGCCCACTTTTTGATGGGGTTGTTTGTTTTTTTCTTGTAAATTTGTTTGAGTTCATTGTAGATTCTGGATATTAGCCCTGTGTCAGATGAGTAGGTTGCGAAAATTTTCTCCCATTTTGTAGGTTGCCTGTTCACACTGATGGTAGTTTCTTTTGCTGTGCAGAAGCTCTTTAGTTTAATTAGATCCCATTTGTCAATTTTGTCTTTTGTTGCCATTGCTTTTGGTGTTTTGGACATGAAGTCCTTG
This sequence comes from Homo sapiens, assembly GCF_000001405.40. NCBI lineage: Eukaryota > Metazoa > Chordata > Mammalia > Primates > Hominidae > Homo > Homo sapiens. Next base: position 8,596,174 of record NC_000020.11, read on the forward strand.
CCCATGCCTATATCCCGAATGGTAATGCCTAGGTTTTCTTCTAGGGTTTTATGGTTTTAGGTCTAACGTTTAAGTCTTTAATCCATCTTGAATTGATTTTTGTATAAGGTGTAAGAAAGGGATCCAGTTTCAGCTTTCTACATATGGCTAGCCAGTTTTCCCAGCACCATTTATTAAATAGGGAATCCTTTCCCCATTGCTTGTTTTTCTCAGGTTTGTCAAAGATCAGATAGTTGTAGATATGCGGCGTTATTTCTGAGGGCTCTGTTCTGTTCCATTGATCTATATCTCTGTTTTGGTACCAGTACCATGCTGTTTTGGTTACTGTAGCCTTGTAGTATAGTTTGAAGTCAGGTAGTGTGATGCCTCCAGCTTCGTTCTTTTGGCTTAGGATTGCCTTGGCGATGCGGGCTCTTTTTTTGGTTCCATATGAACTTTAAAGTAGTTTTTTCCAATTCTGTGAAGAAAGTCATTGGTAGCTTTATGGGGATGGCATTGAATCTGTAAATTACCTTGGGCAGTATGGCCATTTTCATGATATTGATTCTTCCTACCCATGAGCATGGAATGTTCTTCCATTTGTTTGTATCCTCTTTTATTTCCTTGAGCAGTGGTTTGTAGTTCTCCTTGAAGAGGTCCTTCACATCCCTTGTAAGTTGGATTCCTAGGTATTTTATTCTCTTTGAAGCAATTGTGAATGGGAGTTCACTCATGATTTGGCTCTCTGTTTGTCTGTTGTTGGTGTATAAGAATGCTTGTGATTTTTGCACGTTGATTTTGTATCCTGAGACTTTGCTGAAGTTGCTTATCAGCTTAAGGAGATTTTGGGCTGAGACAATGGGGTTTTCTAGATATACAGTCATGTCGTCTGCGAACAGGGACAATTTGACTTCCTCTTTTCCTAATTGAATACCCTTTATTTCCTTCTCCTGCCTAATTGCCCTGGCCAGAACTTCCAACACTATGTTGAATAGGAGTGGTGAGAGAGGGCATCCCTGTCTTGTGCCAGTTTTCAAAGGGAATGCTTCCAGTTTTTGCCCATTTAGTATGATATTGGCTGTGGGTTTGTCATAGATAGCTCTTATTATTTTGAAATACGTCCCATCAATACCTAATTTATTGAGAGTTTTTAGCATGAAGGGTTGTTGAATTTTGTCAAAGGCCTTTTCTGCATCTATTGAGATAATCATGTGGTTTTTGTCTTTGGCTCTGTTTATATGCTGGATTACATTTATTGATTTGCGTATATTGAACCAGCCTTGCATCCCAGGGATGAAGCCCACTTGATCATGGTGGATAAGCTTTTTGATGTGCTGCTGGATTCATTTTGCCAGTATTTTATTGAGGATTTTTGCATCAATGTTCATCAAGGATATTGGTCTAAAATTCTCTTTTTTGGTTGTGTCTCTGCCCGGCTTTGGTATTAGAATGATGCTAGCCTCATAAAATGAGTTAGGGAGGATTCCCTCTTTTTCTATTGATTGGAATAGTTTCAGAAGGAATGGTACCAGTTCCTCCTTGTACCTCTGGTAGAATTCGGCTGTGAATCCATCTGGTCCTGGACTCTTTTTGGTTGGTAAACTATTGATTATTGCCACAATTTCAGCTCCTGTTATTGGTCTATTCAGAGATTCAACTTCTTCCTGGTTTAGTCTTGGGAGAGTGTATGTGTCGAGGAATTTATCCATTTCTTCTAGATTTTCTAGTTTATTTGCATAGAGGTGTTTGTAGTATTCTCTGATGGTAGTTTGTATTTCTGTGGGATCGGTGGTGATATCCCCTTTATCATTTTTTATTGTGTCTATTTGATTCTTCTCTTTTTCTTTATTAGTCTTGCTAGCGGTCTATCAATTTTGTTGATCCTTTCAAAAAACCAGCTCCTGGATTCATTAATTTTTTGAAGGGTTTTTTGTGTCTCTATTTCCTTCAGTTCTGCTCTGATTTTAGTTATTTCTTGCCTTCTGCTAGCTTTTGAATGTGTTTGCTCTTGCTTTTCTAGTTCTTTTAATTGTGATGTTAGGGTGTCAATTTTGGATCTTTCCTGCTTTCTCTTGTGGGCATTTAGTGCTATAAATTTCCCTCTACACACTGCTTTGAATGCATCCCAGAGATTCTGGTATGTTGTGTCTTTGTTCTCGTTGGTTTCAAAGAACATCTTTATTTCTGCCTTCATTTCGTCATGTATCCAGTAGTCATTCAGGAGCAGGTTGTTCAGTTTCCATGTAGTTGAGCGGTTTTGAGTGAGATTCTTAATTCTGAGTTCTAGTTTGATTGCACTGTGGTCTGAGAGATAGTTTGTTATAATCTCTGTTCTTTTACATTTGCTGAGGAGAGCTTTACTTCCAAGTATGTGGTCAATTTTGGAATAGGTGTGGTGTGGTGCTGAAAAAAATGTATATTCTGTTGATTTGGCGTGGAGACTTCTGTAGATGTCTATTAGGTCCGCTTGGTGCAGAGCTGAGTTCAATTCCTGGGTATCCTTGTTGACTTTCTGTCTCGTTGATCTGTCTAATGTTGACAGTGGGGTGTTAAAGTCTCCCATTATTAATGTGTGGGAGTCTAAGTCTCTTTGTAGGTCACTCAGGACTTGCTTTATGAATCTGGGTGCTCCTGTATTGGGTGCATATATATTTAGGATAGTTAGCTCTTCTTGTTTAATTGATCCCTTTACCATTATGTAATGGCCTTCTTTGTCTCTTTTGATCTTTGTTGGTTTAAAGTCTGTTTTATCAGAGGCTAGGATTGCAACCCCTGCCTTTTTTTGTTTTCCATGGCTTGGTAGATCTTCCTCCATCCTTTTATTTTGAGCCTATGTGTGTCTCTGCACGTGAGATGGGTTTCCTGAATACAGCACACTGATGGGTCTTGACTCTTTATCCAATTTGCCAGTCTGTGTCTTTTAATTGGAGCATTTAGTCCATTTACATTTAAAGTTAATATTGTTATGTGTGAATTTGATCCTGTCATTATGATGTTAGCTCGTTATTTTGCTCGTTAGTTGATGCAGTTTCTTCCTAGTCTCGATGGTCTTTACATTTTGGCATGATTTTGCAGCAGCTGGTACCGGTTGTTCCTTTCCATGTTTAGCGCTTCCTTCAGGAGCTCTTTTAGGGCAGGCCTGGTGGTGACAAAATCTCTCAGCATTTGCTTGTCTGTAAAGTATTTTATTTCTCCTTCACTTATGAAGCTTAGTTTGGCTGGATATGAAATTCTGGGTTGAAAATTCTTTTCTTTAAGAATGTTGAATATTGGCCCCCACTCTCTTCTGGCTTGTAGGGTTTCTGCTGAGAGATCCGCTGATAGTCTGATAGGCTTCCCTTTGAGGGTAACCCGACCTTTCTCTCTGGCTGCCCTTAACATTTTTTCCTTCATTTCAACTTTGGTGAATCTGACAATTGTGTGTCTTGGAGTTGCTCTTCTCGAGGAGTATCTTTGTGGCGTTCTCTGTATTTCCTGAATCTGAACGTTGGCCTGCCTTGCTAGATTGGGGAAGTTCTCCTGGATAATATCCTGCAGAGTGTTTTCCAACTTGGTTCCATTCTCCCCATCACTTTCAGGTACACCAATCAGACGGAGATTTGGTCTTTTCACATAGTCCCATATTTCTTGGAGGCTTTGCTCATTTCTTTTTATTCTTTTTTCTCTAAACTTCCCTTCTCGCTTCATTTCATTCATTTCATCTTCCATCACTGATACCCTTTCTTCCAGTTGATCGCATCGGCTCCTGAGGCTTCTGCATTCTTCATGTAGTTCTCGAGCCTTGGTTTTCAGCTCCATCAGCTCCTTTAAGCACTTCTCTGTATTGGTTATTCTAGTTATACATTCTTCTAAATTTTTTTCAAAGTTTTCAACTTCTTTGCCTTTGGTTTGAATGTCCTCCCGTAGCTCAGAGTAATTTGATCGTCTGAAGCCTTCTTCTCTCAGCTCGTCAAAGTCATTCTCCATCCAGCTTTGTTCCGTTGCTGGTGAGGAACTGCGTTCCTTTGGAGGAGGAGAGGCGCTCTGCGTTTTAGAGTTTCCCGTTTTTCTGTTCTGTTTTTTCCCCATCTTTGTGGTTTTATCTACTTTTGGTCTTTGATGATGGTGATGTACAGATGGGTTTTTGGTGTGGATGTCCTTTCTGTTTGTTAGTTTTCCTTCTAACAGACAGGACCCTCAGCTACAGGTCAGTTGGAATACCCTGCCGTGTGAGGTGTCAGTGTGCCCCTGCTGGGGGGTGCCTCCCAGTTAGGCTGCTCGGGGGTCAGGGGTCAGGGACCCACTTGAGGAGGCAGTCTGCCCGTTCTCAGATCTCCAGCTGCGTGCTGGGAGAACCACTGCTCTCTTCAAAGCTCTCAGACAGGGACATTTAAGTCTGCAGAGGTTACTGCTGTCTTTTTGTTTGTCTGTGCCCTGCCCCCAGAGGTGGAGCCTACAGAGGCAGGCAGGCCTCCTTGAGCTGTGGTGGGCTCCACCCAGTTCGCGCTTCCCGGCTGCTTTGTTTACCTAAGCAAGCCTGGGCAATGGCGGGCGCCCCTCCCCCAGCCTCGCTGCCGCCTTGCAGTTTGATCTCAGACTGCTGTGCTAGCAACCAGCGAGACTCCGTGGGCGTAGGACCCTCCGAGCCAGGTAAGGGATGTAATCTCCTGGTGCGCCGTTTTTTAAGCCCGTTGGAAAAGCGCAGTATTCGGGTGGGAGTGACCCGATTTTCCAGGTGCCGTCTGTCACCCCTTTCTTTGACTCAGAAAGGGAACTCCCTGACCCCTTGCGCTTCCCAAGTGAGGCAATGCCTCGCCCTGCTTCAGCTCGCGCACGGTGCGCGCACCCACTGACCTGCGCCCACTGTCTGGCACTCCCTAGTGAGATGAACCCGGTACCTCAGATGGAAATGCAGAAATCACCCGTCTTCTGCGTCGCTCACGCTGGGAGCTGTAGACCGGAGCTGTTCCTATTCGGCCATCTTGGCTCCTCCCCCTGTCTATACAAAATATAAGGAGCAAAAGAAGACTGTTAAGAGGCTAAAAATAACCTAAACATGCCAAAGAAGTAGAGAGAAAATTGAGGGTGTTTTTAACATTTATTTTAAGTTCAGGGGTATATGCGCAGGTTTGTTACATAGGTAAACTTGTGTCATGGGGGTTTGTTAATACAGATGATTTCATCTCCGAGGTATTAAGCCTAGTACCCATTAGTTATTTTTCTTGATCCTCTTTCTCCTCCCACCCTGCACCCTCTGATAGGTCCCAGTGTGTGTTGTTTCCCTCTATGTGTCTATGTGTTCTCATTATTTAGCTCCCACTTATAAGTGAGAACGTGTGAGTTGGTTTTTAATTTATTTCCCTGACTTGTGATACCCATTGTGAAAATGTATATTATGGGTTTAAAAATAATAATGGTAATAACAGAAATGTTAAAAGCTAACATTTCTTGAGCACTTTCTATGTGCTAATTTGTACTGATCACTGACTGAGCCCTTGTGTAGATGAGGAAGTGGAAGAGTTGAGTGACTGCCCCCACTAGCATGGCTGTGATGTGCAAAGCCAGGACTCACCCAGGTTATTCATTCCTAAACTAGAACACCTCTGAGCAAGTTTTCTTTGCACTTGAGTAAAGCAGATGGATTAATGTTTGCTAGAAAGCTACCAGACATTGATAGAGAGCCAAGTTTGCAATGGAAAATTTGTCTAAACCTGCTAGTGTTAACTGGTATGATCTCCCCTTGTTTTGAGACCAGGCTTGTTCTGGAAGTGTTGCGGCTGTTTTCTTCTACAGCTCTATCAATCCCTTCCTCTTTCCCTCCCTTGCAGCACCAACACCTTCACCATCATCACCCTTTTATCTCTTAGGTCTTGATGGCTTCCACATTTTAGGATATCTGATGGTCCTCCAATGTCACTTAATGTATTTTCCATTGGGCAGCATCTTCTCTAGCCTCAGATAAGAATTAAAGTTCTCTCATGAGACTAGTTTGAAAAGCTGAACCTATGAGACAAAGTATAATTTTCCAATACCCATAATGATGGATATTCTAAATAAAGAAGAGTATATGACACCAACACCAAGTTTTTTTTTTAATCAAAAGCAAGGTTGACTCTTGGTATTCCTAGAATAGAGGCTTTTATAACAGACCTTAAACTGCCTTAATTTAAAGCAGGTGTATAAAATACAAAATGGTATTTAAAGAGGTGTAGAGATATTAATTAAAATAGGCTTGCTGAAATGCCAGGGATATCATCACTTCTGAAAATTGAATTAAGCCCTGAATGTCAATGGTGAATTAACATGAATAGACTTATCTATCCCTGTCCAAATATATTTTATCCACAAGCTGTGTAATACACGATGATTAACCAGAGGTTACAGATTCTAGCTGAAACCCAATCAAATTCTTCAGAATCCTAATTGAGGAATGCATTCAGGTCAAAGAATATTAACAGAAAAGCCTCTGTCATTTAAAGGGCAAGCAGAGTGAGTGCTTAAAAGTGTTCAAAATTTTGCTTAATTGTTCTCTTCTTGAGCTATTGTTCTTGATGATTTAGAAAACCTGTGTGCTGCAAGTTTAACTGCTTTAATTACAGTGATGTCAAATACATAGGCCTTTCTATTTAAAGGGATTTTAATTTCTGTGGCTTATGAAAGAGAAACTGAAAGCATAGTTAAAAGTGAATATGTTAGTTGAGAAAGTTCCTGTTCTTACCAAGCAATAAAATTTTCCTAAATGGATGTTTGAAGGAGAGCTGGTGTTCAGAGGTGTGGTTCAGTTGAAGCTCCTCTGGTAGAAGCCCAGCATTTTGTCTGTCTAGTTTTTTTGTCCTTAGCATTGCTTACTTTTGTAAAGCCCCAGATATATATAACTCATTGTTAAAGTATCACATGGTTTGTACAGCAGGATGATTTGCATTATATGAAGGACACCGAAACACAGAAAATGAAAGGTCTACGGTGTATGACAAACAGGACAAATGCTCTAGCAAAAATAAATTCTACTTTCTCTCAAAATTAGCATACTTGTTATTTAAAGAAATGTGCCAGAAGAGAAATACAAGATTTTCTTTTCTTTTTTCTCATTGACTTTAACTCTCTCTGAATGGCACCTATAACTAAAAATACATCTCGGGAATCAAGTAACCCTCTTTTATATACATCCCTCTAAATCTATGGCTAAGTTCAATGTTTAAGGTTGTCAAAGTGGCTCCCATCCAAAATCGGGTTAACATTTGCACTTTGCCTAAAGTGGGACTCCTAGATAAAATTCAAACGACCTTTCTGGTAATCCCAGCGTGTGGGTTTTAGCATCACCAGCTGGCTCCAAATGGGCCACTGCTCTCTCTACAAAGAGGAGGGAGCCTTCAACACAGGGGCCATGCTTGTCCATTCAACTGTGTCTAAATTCACAGATCAGTGTTTCTCTCAGTCCCTAGACCAGCAACATCAGCATCCCTTGGGAACTTGTTAGAAATGCAGAGTCTCAGGCCTTGCCTCACCGAATCAGCACCTCTGGGGTTGGACCTAGCAATGTGTGTTTTAACAAATCCTCCAGGTAATTCTGATGCACACCTAAGTTTGAGAACCACTTTTGTAAATGTGTGTTTCAACTTGACACTAACCAATAATTCTACCACTTAACATTAACAGCTTTCAATTTTATGATCCTTTGTGTTGGACAGGTCAAAGTGGGTGATTTCAACTGCTTAATGGGTACAGAATTTTATTTTGGGGTGTTAATAATATTTTGGAACTAGATAGAGGTGGTGGTTGCACAACCTTGTGAATGTACTAAATGCCACTGGATTCTTCACTTTAACAATGAGTACTATTGGCCGGGTGTGGTGGCTCACGCCTGTGATCCCAGCACTTTGGAAGGCTGAGGTAGGTGTATCACATGAGGCCAGGAGTTTGAGATCAACCTGGCCAACATGGCGAAACTCTGTCTCTATTGAAAACACAAAAATTAGCTAGGTATGGTGGCATGTGCCTGTAATCCTAGCTACTTGGGTGGCTGAGGCATGAGAATCCCCTGAACCCGGGAAGTGGAGGTTGCAGTGAGCCAAGATCATACCACTGCACTCCAGCCTGAGTAACAGAGTGAGGCCCTGTCTCAAAAAAAAAAAAAAAAAAAAAAAAAAGGTTACTTTGATATTTTATGTTATGTAAATTTCACCTTGTTTTTAAAAATATGTAATATAAATGAAACTCAAGTGTTTTAGATATGCCAGTCTAAAGAAATCTGCAAATTAAACAATTTCCAATTCTTAATCATTCTTATTTTGAGTACATCCTAATTCTTTTTTTACACATATGATATGATGCATTCTAATTATACAATTACTAAGGTTTCCCAAGTAAACATATAAAACAGAGTATCTGTAAAGCTGTGATTTGAGTGCTTTTCATGGAAAGTTTCTCATTAGAATTTCTTGATCAGCCAAACAACAGTTTTCAACTACAAGCAAAACAAGGGAAAGCATTATTTGGTTGTCTGTCATTGCTAGGGTGAAGACTATAAAAGAGGCAGGAAGAGTAAAAACCAGGCTTTTAAAATTAAATTTCAGGCAATATCTTATAGTACCTCCACCCTCATGTTGGGCAATTCAAGAGGTCTATTCACATTGCATTGTATGAATAGAATTTTATTTCTTTTGAAATGTAATATAGAATATTTTATTTTATAATATGATCTGAGGATGCCTCCTGGAATTGTGCAACACAAAGGTCTTGGGTGTTGTCCTTTCTGGGTAGAGGGTTTGTTAGCTACTGAATATATTTGTTATAAATATCACTGGGGATTTTTTTAAGTAAATTTATTTTTTAAAAAACCCTAATCCTATGAAGTTTCACTAAATGTAAAAAACATAAATCAATTAAGGCTTGAAGTAACATTTTATTTTACTGTATAACCCTGTAATCCCACACACACACATCTATTATAGACATAATACATTACTATATAGAATACTGGAAAATATCGTAAAATACATTAAAAAAACAATTTCCCTTACTCTCAGAACTGAGAAGTAAAATCTGTTGTATCTTGTGAGAGTATATATGTATGTGTGAACACATATCACACATATATAGAGTACAGTTAATAACAAACAGCATATTCCATTTTAAAACCTATTTTCCCTTACCATATCAGATTTTTTTTCTTAACGAGAAATATTCTTCTACAATATCAATATCATTTGAAGGCCATATAGTATTTCCACTTATAGACGTAGTTCACTTGATTAATTTTGAATTCCCCTTAATTGAACACACTTAATACTTCATTTTTCTTTAAAATATAACAACCTTACCCCTATATTTTGTGCTTTTGCTGATTACTTGTCAAATATATTTATTTGTGGTATCTCTTTTTATACTAGAAACATCAACCTCTTTGTCAAATTGTTCTTCCAGTTTATTGTATTTTTGTTAATTTTGATTTTAACATGTATTTTATGTTTGGTGTTTTCTTTTTTTTTTTTTTTTTTAAAGAAAAAAGCTCTCATTCTTTTTTAAAAAATAGATTCAGGGTATATGTGCAGATTTGTTACATGGACAAGTTTCATAATGCTGAGGTTTAGGCTTCTAGTGTACCCACCACCCAAAAAGTGAATATCATATCCAATAGGTAATTTTTCAACGTTCACTCTCCTCTCATCCTCCCCACATGAGGAGTCCCCAGTGTCTATTATTGTCATCTTTCTGTCCATGTGTACCCATGGTTTAGCTCTCGCTTGTAAGTGAGAACATGTGGTATATGATTTTCTGTTTCTGAGTTATTTCTTTTAGGATAATGGCCTCCAGCTTCATCCATTTCATCCATTTTACTGCACAAGACATGATTTCATTCTTTTCATGGCTGTGTAGTATTCCACAGTGCACATATAGTACATTTTCTTTATTCAGTTATCCATTGATGGGCACTTGGCTTGATTCCATGACTTTGCTATTGTAAACATTTTATGTTCAGTGTTCTCTTTCATAGTGTTGCCTTCCTATTCCAATATTATGTACAAATTTTCCTATAGTTTCATCATCATGGTTTTGTTGTTTACATTTAACGCTTTATTTGAACATCAATGTGATCTGTGAGATAGTAAAAAGACCTAAGTCAATTTTTCCAAACAGTTAAAACATGTTTTTATCATTTATTAAATAACACAGTACTTTCTCCATGGATTTGCAAAATAAGATTATCCAACCAGGAGCATAAACAGAGCAAGTTATTTAACCTCTCTGTGCCTTCATTTCCTCCTCTAAAAGAAGAAAGCCAGTAACAGCATCTCCCTCAAAAAACTGATAAAAAAAAATCCACAAGGTGCCTGACACGGAATAAACTTCATCAATATTATATGACAACCACTAGTATGATTACAATTATTATTAGTGCCCTAATGCTACCACTAGTATGATTACAATTATTATTAGTGCCCTATCTACCCAACTCAATATGCTAGTGTCTTTTTTAGGATATTTACAATTATATTTGTAAGTGAGATGGCCTATGTTGTCTGTGCTTACATCAATTCTGTCAGGCTTTGAATGAGGGACTTGATGGCTTCATAAAATTAAAAAGTTCTGCATCTGTTTATTTTATTACTAAATGTAGAATTTATCCTTGTTGTGATAGATTGACAGAATTTCTCTCAAACCTTTATGAGCCCTAAACATTTCTTTAAAACAACACTTGGAAAAGTATTTCAAGGTCTTTCTTAATTTTTGATCTGTTGTTAAAAATTTCCCTTTCTTTTGGATCAGTTTTGGTAATTGCTACAATTCTAGAATGAATTGTTGGGGAGCATGCCTAAAAGTAGACACCAATAAGGGAGTTGCTCTAACAGTTTAGGCAGGAGATGGTTCCCAATTCTAAATCCATAGCTTTCCCTAATATCGGGCTTGATAAATAACAACACAGTACCCCCCATTTATAATGCCAAAACCAGGGAATTCTCCTGAATTTCTTTCTTTCCCTTAGCACCATTTACCACAGTCCCACATCCCATTCCTCAGCCAGGCCTGTTGCCTCCATATCCAAATTACATCCAACGCATCCACTTCTCTCCATCTCCATAGACCTCACATTAGTCCAACCTCCATGAAATAGACTCAGTTGAAATAGCATCTTAATTGGCTTCCTGCCTCCAGTTTTGCACATTGGCAGACAAAGTGATCTTCCAAAAATATAAATTAAATCATTTCACTCCCCTGCATTAAACCTAATGGACTTCTTTTGTGTTTCAAATAGAAATCTAAACTCCATCCCTCTAAGAGCCCTTGTGACTTGGATTAGAATTTGCCCTTTGCCCCAACCACCTCATCACAGATCACTGTGCCGCTCTCTTGCTATGTTCCAGCCTCTCTGGACTCTGTGTTCCTGGAGCAAGCCAATCCGTTCCCACCCCAAGGTATCAGCACCTCCTGGAACTTTCTTCTCTTCTCCAGACTTTGGTGTAGCCCCTTTTTCTTTTATCTAATGTTCCTACCCCAATCCACTCATTATTTTACCTTACCCCATTTTATTTTCATCATTGACTTCTTCTCTGAAATGTTCTTGTTCATTACAGTTGTGTGTTTATTGCTCTTCTACCTGTAAGCATTATATGCATTATTTACATGTGCCTGACACATGTTTTGCCTTCATTAAATATGTATTGCATGAATGAGTGAGTGAATGAATGGATATAGTCAGAATGATTTTAAAAATGAATAGACTGAGGAATTTAAGAATTAGAATTTTTAAAAGTTAGATATAAAAATGATCCCCCAAACTGATATGAGGTAATGCTTATGTTAAATAGCTTGATTTAGCCATTCCACAGTGAATACATGTATCAAGACATCATGTTGTACACCATATATATATACAATTTTTACTCGTCCAACAATTTTTTTAATGACTAGAATATACAGGGAGCTGGGAGTGTGTGCTCTATCTCTATGTACTTGGGTGTGATTACAGGATGTGTAAAATGTAGAGATCATCAAGTTGTGTACTTAAAATTAATGCATTCTGTGCTCTTTAATGCATGCATGTTATTTCTTTAAAAAATAAAACCATAAATACATGTTTAAAATAGCCAGAGAGAGCACAAAATTTAAATAATATGTGTAACTTAAAAGCTTCCATTTTTACATAGTCTAGGACCTAATATCACAGGCAAATTTAAAATTTCTTTGAAAATGAGCTTTGGGATTCTGTAAAGATTTGGGGCTCTACCATGTGGTTGATAAACAAAATTACTCTCTTTACTCAAGGACCTAAATGGACTTTAAAATGAGCTGGAAATCAACTCTGGCTTCAAGGAAAAGGGTATACCCACAGGGCAAACTTGTTTTGCCTCAAAACATACTTTATCATGTAACGTCCCATTCCTCACCCAAATTAGATAGCCTTACATTATCATGTGACATCTGTTAAATAACTCAAATAAGAAAATAGTTCCTGATATTTAGATAAGGATACTTAGATTTATAGGGTATTTTCCTGCATAAGACACTAATGACTTTTATAAAATGTTTCATAAATGTGTTTTGTGAAAACACAAATATGAGTCAGCTGGCATAGCAACATGCACAGTGTAGCAACTCAAACATTTTCTGAATAAATAAATGAAGGAATGAGGATAAGAAATAAAAATATTAGAGGTAATTATTTGGGTTCCAGATAGAGCTTTATTTTAATTATAGTTTCTTAAATTTGAATGAATTCACTATTTTACCATAATCAGAAGACTGCAGCAATCATCAATTGCACAACAGTGATGGCCTCTGTAATTTGGCACTATTAGCTCCTGAAATGTATTGAGATGTATAAATATAAGCATCTTAATCTTTTCAATATACCCTAGCAAACTGGCCCTAGCATCCCTAGGGCTTTCGGAGCTAAGGGGAAGTTAAATGCCCTTCTCTTATTCCCTGCCAAAATAAGAAAAACTTTATTGATTTGAAAGTGTTAATTTCCTCCAACTTTTCATATATGCAGTAGGCATGTCAACAGAGCAAAAATAGTCTTAGCTATTGGAAATGAGGCTACAGATTTTATTAGGTTGGTGCAAAAGTAATTGCGGTTTTTGTCATTACTTTCAATGGCAGAAGCTGCAATTACTTTTACATCAACCTAATAGATTGACTTATGTCATAACTATACATTTCCCAAAAATACAAGACATGGTTCAAACATTAATATTTGTGACTTAGAGCATCAGAATGAGGAGATTAAAAGTTTGAAAATGCTCCAGCACTTGGATGAGGCAAGAATAGTGAGGTACAGTTTAAGAGAGTTAAGAATTAAAAGTCTTTATGCCAAGCTAAATGTGTCCTTCAAAAGCTGTGCATGTTATGACTGCTGGCTCCAACGCATCTATCTAGTCAGTCTCTGCTATTTTAACCATCTTTTTTCTCTTCAATTTACCACCTATTATTAGGCCAAGAAAACTTGAGCATCTGTCAAGAGTAAAAATATTTTGAAGTTTTCTTCAAACACACTGAATTCCATGATTTACACATGGTTCTTTTTTTAAGAGATGGGAGTCGTGCTGTGTCAACCAGGCTTAAGTGCAGTGGTGCGATCATAGTTCACTGAAATCTCAATCTCCTGGGCTCAAGCAATCCTCCTGCCTCGGCCCACTATGTAGGTGGTCAGCCACCTACAGGTGTCAGCCACCATGGCCAGCTTCATACATGTGTTCTGAAGCAACTTTTTTGAAAGCATGGTATACACATCACAAAGGGTGCACAGGTACTTTAGGGTGAATATCTGTATTTGCACACCAATAAATTAACCCTTCTAATGTAAACAATTCAGTGGTTTTTAGTATATTTAGTATATTCATAGATGTAAAATGAGCATCAGTATATAATTTTGGAATGTTTTCATCACTCCAAAAAGAAACCCCCTACCCATTAATAAGCATTCTTCCCTCCTTCCTCTTCCCAGACCCTGGTAACCATTTACCTTTCTGTCTCTATGTGTTTAACTATTCTAGAAATTTCATATAAATGGAATCATATAAAATTATGTTGGTGCAAAAGTAATTGATGTTTTTGCTTGTGAAAGTAATGGCCAAAACTGCAATCACTTTTGCACCAACCTAATACCTGGTATGTAGTGACTGGCTTCTTTCACTTAGCATAATGTTTTCAAGGTTAATCCATGTTGTAGCATATAACAGTACTTCATTGCTGTTAATTGTCAAATATTACTCAATTGCATGTATATACCATATTTGATTTTCCATTCATCAGTTGATAGACATTTGGATTGTTTTTATTTTTTGGCTATTATGAAAAATGCTGCTATGAACTTTCAGGTATAAGCTTTTGTGTGGACATGTTTTCATTTCTCGTAGGTATATACCTAAGAATGTAATTGCTGGGTCATATGATGGCTGTGTTTAACATCTTAAGGAGTTGCAAACTGTTTTCCAAATTGGCTATGACATTTTACCTTCCCACCAGCAGTTTATTTGATAAATTCCTTTCAGATAGAATTCATAAATATTTTCTCCCATTCTCTTTGTTGTCTTTTTACCTTCTTGATAGTGTCCTTTGTAGCACGAAGTTTTTGTTTTTTATAAAGTTCAATTTATCTATATTTTATTTTGTTACTTGTCCTCTTGGTTATGTAAGAAACCATTGCCTAACCCAAGATCTCAATGACTTATACCTAGGTTTTCTTCTAAGATCTTTAGAGTTTTAGCTCTTACATTTAGGTCTATGATAAATTTCAAGTTGATTTTTGCATATAGTGTGAGGTAAGGGTCCAAGCTCATTATGATAATGATGAGAAGTTTTATTTTAAATAAACATATTTTAATGTATGAAATTTGCTAATTTAAAGAAAAATCTTAAATAAATGGTAAACTATAAATATCTAAGAAATGTATCTCTTTTCAGGTTTTCTAGGAAAATCAACCTAGGATTTATATTAGTAAGGAAATTTATACTTAAAATTTTACTTTTATTTATTTTACTTTTTATTTATAGAAGGTAAGGATGAAATGATGAAGTGGGATAGAGGTTGACACCTATATATGTGCCAAGCTCTTTGTGAATGTAAAATTCTATTTTAAGGAAAAAAATATTGTGTTTTGAAGGCTAAGAAAACATGTATACAAGAAACTAAAATGGTGCCATTGGGCACCATCTTCTTTAATTCTTAGTTTTAAAATTCAGGGAAATACTTTGGTTTTGATAAGCTTAAGCCTAAGTGTTGAAAAATTCTTAAGTAAGGTTTAAAATTAAAACGACATCAGTAATTGTTAATAAAGGGATCACCAAAAAAGGCTTCACTATAGTCAGTTCATTCACATCAAGTTACCTAGTCAGTCTGGGTTGATTACCTTAAAATGTAAGAAGCCTGTATTATGACTTTATTTTAATAATAAAAAGGTCCTTTCAGTTCTAAAAACATGGCTATATCATGTTTTTTACTTCTTGAGCCTATAAAAACAATTTCTTTATAAGGACTAGGATAACCAGGAGGCCTAGTAATATCAACTAAAAAACATTTTATTGATGAAATAGTTTACAGAGTTTTATTGACCGTGCAGGAAACATTCAGGGACTCTTCAATCAATTCTCTTAGTATTTCCAGTGGTAGTTTGAGAACATTCCCTTGGCACTGTTTCTATATCTGCAAACTTTTAAGAGACGTATTAGCTGGGCATGGTGGTTCATGCCTGCAGTCCTAGCTACTCGGGAGGCTGAGGCAGGAAGATTGCTTGAGCCCGGGGGATAGAGTCTACAGTGAGCTGTGATGGTGCCACTGTACTCCAGCTTGGATGATGGAGGGAGATTCTGTCTCTAAAAGGATAAATAAAACAAACTAGAGATATATTCACCTCAAGTTTTCTCTGTTGAAAAACCAACTAGCTTTTAAGGAAGTTTGTAACTTCCTTAAAAACAGTTAGTTGGCCTTTCTCTGTGCTCCAAAAGCATTTATCCCTTTGTCCTAAAAGGATCTACGTATTTTCCTCTTCTACCAGATCATTAGAAGCTTGAGGGCAAAGACTGTGCCACATTCATAAACATAACCCTGGTATAGAAAATGGCAATAAAGGCATAAAGTTTGTTGAATGAATAAAAAACACAAATGAAAAAGTATGTTTATGGTATTGGTAGAGCTCCTGGAACATTCATTTGCATATAGGTGAATCAATTATTGTAGGAGAGGTCGCTTCAGTAAATGTTCAGAGTTTTCCTGGGATTCTATGACATAAAGATCCACAAGTCAGCTTTGAAGAAGGCAGCTCTCAAGCCCTCATCTTTGCCGTCCATTGGATGGAGGAAGGGTGGCATAGCAACAATGGTTGTTTCACTGCTTAACCCAACTCCCTGTAGTAAAATTCCAGAGGTTTCACCAGGAAGTCCAACTACACTCTGGTTTACATATTCCATAGGGATTAAATGTCCTGTGCTCCATAGGTGCATTGGATTATCGCGCATCCACTAAACCCCATAGATCTGTAGATTACCTTAGACCTTTCTGCCCCAGTTACTGATTGAGCCACATGTATCAGGTTGTTTAGGTTTCCATAGCCTCCCCTGTGCTCTTGAGAGCTTAAAGCCCCTTCCCTAGCAGAGCTTCATTACACAAAAATGGAACTACCAACCTAATTAATGACACAGCCATACTTCTTTCTATAAGAAGGACATTTTCTGAAGTCAAATACTCTACCCCTGAGCTGTACCCGCAAGAAGGACATTTTCTGAGACAATCTGAAGAAAGTCACCATCTGTTAATGACTTTTCAGGAAGAATTTGGGGTTCTAACTAGATAACCACATTTCAGTGTTACCCTTAGACATGGCCCAGCTTAACACATGAGTGAGCAGAGACAGATCTGGATGTGAGATGTGTGGGTGGGTACAAGCCCATTCTGTTTGCTTTATTTTTAATGATAAAGCAGTAGAGCTTGGAACTGTGGATATTGGCTCTATTGCATACATGAAATGTGTAAATGCTCGTCTCTTTATTTATTTAAAAGAAAAAATAATATGTTGAAAGGCACCACAAGAAGTGCCCAATACTGTCCAATACCATGCTGAATTCATAATTTCTTCTATGTATAAGGAATTGTGTGCCACACACTTAGCCTAAACAGCAATCATATAAAATGACATCAATGACCACAACTATCAATTATGATATTTTTATTCAAGTGCTCAGGTATTAGAGCATAACAATTGCAGAGCCATTTCAGGGTTTTCTGGGGGTGATGAGTTTAACAATGGACAACATTTGGGTACTGAACTTCAGGGACATTAGCCGTGTCTGTTAGCAACTCTGCAAGTTGCTTTTGCTGTATTTGAACTTACAAGGTACAAAATATACCTCACAAGGGGAAATTCAGAAGACAGTCTAATAGGTGGCTCCCTTCTGTGCTAATATGTGACTTTCAATCCATGTCATAAGATTCTTATAAAAGGTTTAGCATTTGTAAGTCCTCATGTATAGATTGAAAAGAAACTATCAGCACAAATTCCCACTGAAAAGAAAACTTGATTCTTAGTTGTTTTGAAAAATGATTTTATTTTTATATTTTTCTCAATATTATAGTAAGGAAATGAGTTCATGGTCTTGTAAGCATTTATAAAGTATATAAAATGATGAAGAGAAAATAAATTCCTGTAAATTGAATATTTTTATAATCTCAAGGTAAGGAAAGCTTTTTTATACATGGCAATAAATCAGAAAAATTACAGTGAAAATATTGATAGAACCAAATATAAAAAAATTAAATTTCTATAGGAGAAAATGCCACATCATTTGACATTAAACCAAATGATACATTTGAAAAAAATATTACAACATATATATCAGGCAAAGGGTCAATAAACACTTAAGCAGCCCAAAAAAAGGTTGTTTATAAATCAATAAGAAAATAAATCCTACTTGAATAGGGGGATTATAGCCTTAACAAACTCTTTCTACTCTAAAAGACATGTGAATGGCCAATAAATAAGAAGATATATTTCCAATAACTAGTCATTTTAAAACACAAATAAAAACAGTAACAAGATATTCTATTATTTTTCAGCAGACTATCAAAGATAAAAAAAAATTGTCAATAACCCATGTTGGTGATCTCACATGCTGTAGGTACGATAAGTTGAAATATCAATACCTTTGGCCCTGCAATTACACACCAGGAATTTATCCTAAGTAAATTATCATTCAAGTATTCAATTATATATATATATACACACACATATACACATACACACACACAGATGCTCATTGAAGCATTGTTTATAATAATAAAACCTGTCCAATGATGAGAAATATGTTAAATAAATTATGGTGCATCTATATAGTAGAATACTACAGAACCAAATTAAGAGGGAAATATATTTCTATATTTATAAATATTTTATCAGTATATCAGTAAGCAGTCAAGTTACAAATAAATATGTTTACTTTGATTCTAGTTATGTAAAATTCTGTGTGTGTGTGTGTGTGTGTGTGTGTGTGTGTGTGTGTGTGTTTATGTAGAGAAATGTCTACAACTGCACCATTCAACTTGGTAGACACTGGCCTCATGTTGCTACTTAAATCTGAATTAATTTAATTTCAACCAAATTAAAAATTGTGTTAGCCACATTTCAAGTATTCAATAGCCATGTGTATCTAGTGGCTACCATATTGGACAGCTCAGATTTGGAATAGTCCCAGCATCACCAAAAATTTCTGTTGACAGCACTGGTCTGGAAAGATGTTCTCCACCATGTTTTTAATGGTTGCTTCTGGCTAGTGGGATCTGGAGTTAATTTCATTTAATTTTCTAAATTGCTTGAACTTTTTATGAGCATGCAATTAATTCATATTCAGAAGGTTCTGTCATCTGGAAAAAACTCACCTATGATTCCACCATGTAGAAATAAGCATTGTTAATATTATGTTGTATTTCCTTGCAGTCTTTGTTCTAAATGCTCATAGTTGCACAGAATGACAATATGTACATGTTTTTAATGTTGTATTTATATCTAATACACCATAAGCATTGTATCTTATTCTTTAAAGCTCTTCATAAACATTACTTTAAAAAGCTGCATACTGTTCTGTCTAATGTCCTTAAATGATTTTTGTTATATATGTTGCCTTGAATGTACTAAAATATTTAAGAATTTTGCAAATCAGTTGGGTTTGGGAAAATCAAATTTATAGGGAAGACAGTGATTTATAGTTCTTTTGTTATATGTAGAGGACCATCTAATACATCACGCTTTGGAGATGCTTTTTTTGTTCCAAATCACTATTCAAAACCACCTTCACAAAACATAATAGCTTTAGAAATCAATGTTTTTGATAAAGTGCCTTTATTTTCAAGTATCCACTTTCCCTACTGAATGCAACAATGCACAGACATCTTTGTTATTATCCACCTTCTGAGATTTATCCAAAATGTGTCACCTCTCTTTGAATCCCTTTAGAAACCATTCTTTGATGAACATACTTTATTTGGCTCTCCTGGACAACATTTTGATAAATATAAAATGACTTTAACACAAGAATCAAAGGGAAAAAAATTTCAGAATTAAAGAACAATGACCTGAAATCCATGGAAGAGGAGCACGTGTAACAAATTTACTTGACATCTTGCTCTGCAAGTTGCTTTTGCTGTATTTGAACTTCTCTCCGGAATAAAACTGAAATCAGGGGCTTTGTGTTCTATACCATACCCTGGTACATAAAACCTTTCCAATTACATTTATGTTCTCCTAGGAGGGATGGCCCCAAAGGCACCTCAGACTTTGCATATCAAAAACCAAACTCATAATCATAATCATACCCTGTACTCCTCCCCAACAGGGTCCTTCTCCAGATCTCCCTGCCTCTCTTGACTACAACTCCTTTCTCTCAGTTACGCAGTTCAGAAACCGAGGGTTGTTACTGACACCTCCATTTCTTCAACCCCAAAACTGAATCCAACATCAAGTCAAGCTGATTTTGCCTCTTACATATCTCTCCAAATCTGTCCCCCATATTCTAGCAAGTCACATTCCATCCTTCCCCCGTTTAAAGCCATTTGGTGGCTTCCCCTTGCTTGAGGGCTTAGAATGCCTTGACAAGAACAAACCTTACTTCCTTGCAGAATCTGGCTCCTTACCTATACAGCTTCATTTCACCCAACCTTCTCTACTAGCTTTTAATTTTCTCATCCTTGCTGCTCTTCCTCCTACCACAAGAAATTTGCATAACATGCTACTCCACTGCCTGAAGTGCTTCTTACTAAACCCTCCTTCATCTAAGACTCTTCTCCATCTTTCAAATTTCAACTCATCATATGCTTGTTTAGGGAAGCCCTCTCTGATTTCATTAATTATGTTAGACTCACCTACTAAACTCTTTTGCACACATTAATGAGGCTGTTTGATTAATTTAATGCCCGTTTCCTTGCCAGAATGTAAGCACCACCAGGGTGTAAGCATCTGTTTTTGTTCACTGATGTAGCTCCATTAACTAGCACAGTGCCAGATAAATAGTAGGTGCTCAATAAATATTTGTTTACTGGATGAATAAAGACCATGAGACAGATGCCCCCAAGCACAAGGAAAATGCTGAGTCTTCTACAAAAGAATCTTGGAGCACTGGTCAACAGCAGAGCCTCTCTAAAGAAACAGATTCCCCCATGAGGAGAAAGCTGCATAAGTCATCAAACTTTATAGTGAAATATCCTAATTACATTTCCCTTTGAGTTGGACTGTACTGTATGTACTGCACTCAGTATTCCCCAAGAATAGTTTGTATCTGAGATATAGAGCCCAGGAGGCTAGGCCCAACAGGACTATTCTTGGGGAATACTCAGAGTGGATTCTATTTATGTATCCCAGAGAAGGCCTAAGGAGAGAGATCTTGAAAGCATTCATGATGCAATCTCCTGCTGGGAAGAAGAAAGCCAGATGGGAGCTAAAAATTGATGCCAATAAGAGATTTGGAGCAATGCTGTTCAAACTGAGGCCTTTTCCTGTTTCCCAGGAGCATAGAGTCATCCTTCTACTAAGTTTTAAGACTTACAGACCACCTGTAAATGTAACTGGCAGTGTGCTGAAGCCAGCTTGTACCAGTTCATGAGAGCCAATTGTTAAATGTTTGCTAAATTTGCTACAGATTGATACACACAGCCATTATGATAAATTAAATAATTTAAACTTAAAGCTAAATAAATTATACTAAAAATGCAGGTAATGAATACTCAAAACTCATCACTTTCTAATTATTTTATTAAATGTTATGATTAAGTATGATTTTGAGGCTATTTATAGTCTTGTAGCTCTATGGTGAAATTGTGTGCTACTTGATCTTTTTTTCAATTCTGAATTCAGTGAGATCATCAGGGTGGCTTGAAATTGGCTATGTTGGGAGTATTTACACCATGGAAAACAGTAAATGCTAACATTCGGGGATTTGGAGGCTTTTGTTGTTGTTGTTTTGGGTTTTTTGGTTTTGTTATTTATTGTTTGTTTTGATTTGTTAAAAGCCTGTTGTTGAACATTTACCGGCATACCACAAGAGGCAACCAATTCATGGCCCAATGTAATCTGTCTTTTTGTACTTCATTGTTGAAATTACCTAGCAATACTAGGAAATCTTAGGTCGAAGTGGAATTGTGAATCTTCCAATCGTCTAAACCACATTTCTTCTAAACTACATTTCACAAAAACATATTGGGTGGGACTCGTTTGAGAAAAAAAGGTTATATATATATCTTTTTAATCCCATATCATATACTGCTATTTTTTAAGTACCTAAGATAGTGTTTGGTATAAATTAACCATATAGAAAATATTTGAATAAATTAATTATAGGAGTCAAGAAGTATAATAATTTGAGTTAATTCTTGACAATAGGATGATTTGAATTCTCTTCATATAAAATGGGTGGCATTATAATTCATTTCAAAATATTTCATGCATTAAATATCTTCTTAGGAAGATGCAAGAACACTTGACTTCCCAGTTTTCAAAGGATTTTAAAAATCCTCTGGGAAAATATTGGTTGGGGAGAGAAATGATGGCTGTGAAGAGGGAGATGAAGAGAAAAATGTGAAAAAAGTGAACGAGATTTGAGAACAAAAGGAAAAAATAATTGCCTAAAAATTAATCAGTGCAGGCCAACAACTAAAAGAAGTGACTAATGTCCTGGGAATATTTACTGCTTTTTTGTAAAATTTTTTTAAAATTAAGAGAGCTTTACACTCCTTAAATTTCCTTTCTATTCCCTATTTAGAATTGTACTGGCTGGGTGCAGTGTGTCACACCTGTAATCCCAACACCTTAGGCAGGCAGAGGTGGGAAGATAGCTTGAGCCCAGTGGTTCAAGCCCTGCCTGAGCAACACAGTGAGACCCCATTTTCCACAAAAAGGAAAAAAAAAAAGTTAGAATTGCACTAACAATTCTGGTGATAGCTTTTACAATCATATAACATAACTAACAATAGACACAATCACATAACTCACAAGACAATTTTTTTCTTATTGAAAATTGAGGTCTTAGAGATGACAACTTTGGTCTTCATGTATAATGTGTTTTGATGGATCAATAGTAAGGCATTTTAGAAGACATTTTCTTACTTTCACCTCAAAAGAAGCACACACACACACACAAAGGCATATTGAAGACGGGGCTTATTTAAATGCAACTAGTTATTCCTTATAAAAGTAGACATCAAACCTTATCAAGGCTTTGAATTGTTAAGATCTTTATATCCCTGTGTTTCTGATGGTATATTATTGATTTTTATGTATTATAGAATATAGTTAACCCATGTGTATCTAGAGTAACACAAAAGGTATATAAATAAAACAAAGGAAATAAATCTGAAAATCAAATAGTATTTACTCTTAGAATATTTTTATAACTTTCAGCAAATACGTATTCACATCTATATTTAGCTTTATAGATAAATTACCCATTTACTTCAAACTCCTTCAGTTACCTGTAGTGAACTGGTGGGAAATTTTCTCGCTCCTTTTAACTCCTACAATCATTTATAATTTTAAGAAGAAAAAGAGGCCGGGTGCGGTGGCTCATGCCTGGGAAGCTGAGGCAGATGGATCATGAGGTCAGGAGTTTGAGACCAGCCTGACCAACATGGTGAAACCCCGTCTCTACTAAAAATACAAAAATTAGCCGGGCGTGGTGGCATGTGCCTGTAATCCCAGCTACTCAGGAGGCTGAGGCAGGAGAATTGCTTGAATCCGGGAGGCGGAGGTTGCAGTGAGCCAAGATTGCACCACGGCACTCCAGCCTGGGCGACAGAGCAAGACTCTGTCTAAAAAGAAAAAAAAAAAGAAAAAAAGAAAAAGATAAGTATAAGCTAACATTTATTTCACTGCATTTTTTCATAGCATTCTTAAAATAAGTAATCATGTCAGACTCCACAAAAATGTATTAATTCTTTATGTACATGTGATACATTAGAGTTTGAGGATTTAATTTTGATCACCACACTAATGATATAAGGTGAACAGACATTGCTATTATCATTGTTAAAGCTTTGAGAATATGAGTTGCCTAATTTACAAAGCTAGTTAAATGGAAGAACCAGGAACTGAAAAGATCTAGAAATGACTTGTCCTTTAGCACTCTTTAAATTAAGCTTCCCATGGAAAAATGAATTAAGGGAAAAACAAAATTAAAGTGCAAATGTTTAGAATATAGGTAGTCAAGTATACACAAACCATGAATATATTCCTAAATGTGCACACAAATATACATACTGATCGACAAATCTCAAAGTAAGTAAATGGATATACATACATATACTAAAATGTTCTTGTCTCTATAAGAGATTAAAGTATTCAGTATGTTCCCCCCATATTGTGTTTCATTTTCATTTGTAGAACTTTTCAGTGTCTGGTTCTTCCATTTAACTAGCTTTGAAAATTAGGCAACTTGTATTCCCTGAGCTTCAACTTAGTTTTCCCTCAAGGTGGATGATAATAGCAATGCCTGGTCACCTTACAGCATTAGTGTGGTGATCAAAATCAAATCTGCAAACTCTAATGTGTCACATGTACATAAAGAATTAATATATTTTTGTGGTGACTGACATGATTGATTACTTATTTTAAGTATACTACCAGCTATTAATTTTTTTTCAAGTACTCACAACTTGTTATGTGCGGCTCTCAGCCCTTAACATATAATGATTCATTTATTTCCCATAATAACCTTTTTAAGGGGACACTACTATTATCCTCATCCCACAGTTTGGAAAACTGAGGCACAGAATGATTAACAAAATTTTTTAAGTTCACATTTCTTCAAACGACAGAGCCGGAACTCAAAGCCAGACAGAATGCAGGCTGTCTGGCTGGGCACGGTGGCTCACACTTGCAATCCTAGCATTCTGGGAGGCAGAGATGGACAGATCACTTGAGGCCAGGAGTTTGAGACCAGCCTGGCCAACATAGCAAAAACTCAACTCTACTAAAAATACAAAAATTAGCCAGGTCTGGTGGTGTGCACCTGTGGTCCCAGCTATTTGGGGGCTGAGGCCTAAGAATCGCATGAGCCCAGGAGGTAGAGGCTGCAGTGAACTCAGATTGCACCACTGCACTCCAGCCTGGGTGACAGAGAAACTCTGTCCCCTGCCCCCACCAAAAAAAAAAAAAAAAAAAAAAGAAAAGAAAAGAAACAGAATACAGGCTGTCTGCTGTTTTCCTCCATGTGTCAAAAGCTCACAGCATAGATGATGGATTTTCTTAACAAAGGGAACATCGTGTTTGTCATTATTAATAAATTGTCATCCTCCTTTTTTGATATGTTTGATTTTAAATTATGCTCTGAGGTTTTAGAAGCCCCTTTGACACATCTAACTATAGCACAGTACCATGGAAGGAAGTAGATATCATTACAAAATAGGAAAACTTAAATCTCACCAATAAAGAACTCATCAACTAGGGAGATGCTGCGGACTCATTGTAAAAGTGTCTGTGCATTCTATTAACAAACAGGCGTCATTATGATAGCTAGAAGCATTGACCTTGGATGAAAGTTGAGGGGAATATAATGCTTTTCATGCTTTGTCGGGGGTTTAAACAGGAAGGCACATAGGATCCTAATTGTCTGCTTTGCACACACCATTACCCCTCAGGGCATGTGGATTTTTTATGCATTGCAGTGGTAAGGGCTGTGCATACAAATTTTGCTGGCAGACAGGTGGTAGCATATGTCAAAAAGACTGGGGGGATAGTTTAAAACATGGCTGAAAAGTTGTCTATACTTTAGAATTTTTAAGTTTGACAAATACTGACTCAATGAGGAGGAAAAAGCTAACTACTTTTTCCATTGACTAGTTTTCAAATTGCTATAGTTCATGCACTTTTATTTTCAGCAAGGATGATTGTACAAATAATGATTAAAATTGACCATTTAGCTTCGACTCTTTGCTAGGAAGGCAAGCACTTCCATGAGACCACCTTTCTTTCCTATTTTGATTTCTCATATGCATTATTTTATATTTTTAACAAACTGCCTAAAATATCGCTAAACAAGGTAACTTGAATGAGTGCTATTTAAGTTTTATTCTGCCAATTGAACTATTTGCACTATTTTATATAAACTGCATCAAATTGGATATACTTTGTAACACGGTGTGATATGGAGAGGGCTTAGAGTTTACCATCAGGTGTACTTGGATTCAAATCTCCCTTTACACCATTTTATAAAACTGAGCAAATTACTTCATCTTTCAGCACCTCATGTGAAATTGGAATAACAATAGCTATTTCTCTGTGTTAGTTTGCAGATTAAATAGGTGGAAGAAGATACAGAACAGCTGGTGTGGTAGTTGACACAGTCACTAATTAGAAGAACTTGTTGTTATATGTATCATTTTTATAGAGAACTGAACAGAGTCAGCACTTTGGGAGGCCGAGGCAGGCGGATCACGAGGTCAAGAGATGGAGACCACCCTAGCCAACATGGTGAAACCGTCTCTACTCAAAATACAAATTTAGGGGGTGGTTGGTGGCGCGTGCCTGTAGTCCCAGCTACTCGGGAGGCTGAGGCAGGAGAATCGCTTGAACCAGGGAGGAAGAGGTTGCAGTGAGCCAAGATCACGCCACTGCATTCCAGCCTGGTGACAGAGCAAGACTCTGCCTCAGGAAAAAAAAAAAAAAAGAATCTTAGTAGCCTATCTGATGAAATTCTTTCAATTATAGATCCCATAGAATACATGAAGATTAATCAATATTGAGATAACATTTCCTTATTTCCTATAATCACTTCTTTAATGTTGTAACAGG
Source organism: Homo sapiens (assembly GCF_000001405.40). Taxonomy (NCBI): domain Eukaryota; kingdom Metazoa; phylum Chordata; class Mammalia; order Primates; family Hominidae; genus Homo; species Homo sapiens. The sequence goes on from NC_000020.11 coordinate 8,622,396, forward strand.
TGTATTCAATCCATTGATATTCTATTGGCTCACTCACAGAGGTTACCTAAAGAGAGTTCCCATATAGTCCTAAGAATGTTTTCCGGCTATGGAAATGCAAGAGAGCACACCAGGAATGACTGTCCACCAGTGATGGATGAGACTGAACAGATAAATGCTGCAGTTTCCAGGCTACTTAGGGACATCCTAAGATGTGTTCTTCATTCTGTCTCCAAATGGCACTAGTGTTTTGAGCCTCAGTTGCCCAAAATGGTAAACCGCTAAATTAACACAGTCTTTAAAGACCTTCTTCCCTCCTTGTCTTACTTCCCCACTCCTCACTGTGCTTTCTGCAATCATCTCCAAAATAAATTACTTGTCCTCAGATCTTTGATTGGGTCAGCTTCTGGGGCATCCAGACAAAGATCCTGTCTGCCAAGCATGTGTATTGCAACCTGGGAAACTATTAGATTGGTGCAAAAGTAATTGGGGTTTTGCCATTACTTTTGCACCAACCTAATAGCTCAGGCAATGCAACTTTTTGAAATAGGTAATAGCAGCATTTTCCCAGCTCTGAAGCTGTCTCTCCACATTCTGAGCCCAATTTTCTTGGTCCAAGGACTGTGGATACTTTATTTCAATCCCATTTTCTGCTTCTTCTATGGTCAGCCTGCCTGAATGCCCTCCAGCAGCCCCTTATCTTTCCTTCCTTCCTAGCTCTCGAAACTGCATTAAACCAGACCCTGAGCTTGTTCCTGGAGATGAGGAAAATCTAGGATGCTATTTAGGGATGCTCCTTTAACTTTATTTATCTCTTCTCTCTGACTGCTTCCAAGAACAACCAAACTTTTAGCTCCATGGGAACTCCAGGGAACTTTTAGCTTCTCTGTTTGTGAACCAGGAGAATATTATCTGGATGATCGCCTTCGTGTTTCTTCTAATTTTTTTTTGTTTTAGACTTAAATAGTGTGTTCACTTTAGCTCAATCAATTCAAGCCTGACAGCTTCAAACCGCTTTATTTCAGATGAAGATGCATGGCTAAGCTAATTATATTTTCTCTTCTTCATCAACAGTTTTCTATACTTATACAGTGACTTTATAAATTCATCATTATTCCATCCCAAAACAAATATGAATACTCTTGTTATGGTAATGCCACTGCGGGATATGAAAGGGCAGTCCTCTACCAGCTCGTTTTTTTCCTAGTATGTACCCATAGTTGCTTTTCTTTGACATAGTCAGTCTGTTCTCCTTCTACTCCCTCTAGTTAAAAAAAAATAGCTAAAAAATATTTAAAGATTTTCCATCTGTTACTTGTGGGAAAGAAATACTTAAACAAGTAACATCCTCCGAGTCTTTTGCTCTATTTAGAAGAATATTCACAGCACCATATTTCAGAGCCATCATTGATGCAAGTGGATAGGTGTTTCCTCTATAAAGGCTTGCTGGCTGTGTGAGCCGCCTAAGCCACTGGTACACCCTGGTGAACAGAATGATAGCCTTCATCACACTCATATATAAAAGAAAGAAACCTTGAAAATGAGAGGTATGAGGATAAGCATTGATTCAAGGGGAATTTGTTAGTCTGTGTTTTATTTTCTGAGATGCAAATGTTGAATTCAAGGGTTTGATGGGAAACCAGCCTGGACGTAAATTTATACATTTCCTCCACAATGAAATTTGAATAAAGCATAGCAAGTCGGCTCTGCCTTCAAAGAAAAGGTAGCTTTATCACTATGAAGCTGAATCACACGAATCTCACTTAAGTATAAGGAATCCATCTCTTTCATTTCCAACTGTTGTACTGAGTGCTACTGGAAAGCCTCTTATATGCTTGATGATTGATAGGAATGGATTTGAGTTCCATCCATATAACTGTAATTCAGATTGAGAATATTGCATTAAGTGCAGGGAATCAAATTAACCTACACAAATCATTGGATAAGCCTACAATCCAATAAAGATACATTTCATGAGTATGAAAAAATGAGTAAGGTATATCTTCTGCACGAAAAATGTTTCTGGTATCAAAAATAAAATCTAAAGGTCATGAAGAGATGTTTTATTTTGTAGATACTTGGCATGCAAATAAAATAACCTTTTTAAAAAGTGGTATTAAAAAGTAAGGATTCAAACCAGCATTTAACTCTTTTTTTAAATCATCCTTTAGCCTGTGTTTATTCCTTCCATTAATTTTGAATATTTTAAATGATATAATGCAGTAACACATGCTGTAATTGAGTCCTTGCTTCTTAGGTGTAGAACAGTCTTTACTTTCTTCAGTGGCCAATTACCTGAAAATGGGAATCATTAACATGAGCTTTAACAAGAGCAAAACTCAACTTTCTTTGCAACAGACATGAAGTAATTTAATCACAAATCCTGATGATTGAGAGAAAATGAATTTACTTAGTCAGACAGTCTTTATTTGGTAGCACTTATGGGAACAGAAATGATCTAGATTTAACTTTAAAAGTGGAATTCAATTATAGCTGCCAGGATTCTGAGTTGGTCTGGTTAATTTCAGCTGTGGAGATACATCTAGGATATTCTGCAGGTATTTACCTACTTGAGTAGGTAAATCCTTCTCTGGAAACTTCTTAGGAAGTTGAGTCTATAAGAAATACTCAGACATAAAGCTCCTTGGTAGAATAGGTTTGGGAGATAAGGTGGTTTGCATGCAAGTTGTCTATCAGTTTGTGTTATTGTTGCTATTTTGATTTTATTTGTTTGTTTCTGAAACACAGCCACCCATTTCCCAAGAACTGAGAATGTCATACTCTGGAAAACAACCACTTTTTACACATCTGTTTTCATCAAATTCCTTCTACCTATAAAGTCCTCTAAAAACTTGATGCATTTGCAGTTTGTCCGTCCAGACAATCCCCTCTTTGTGTATTCTCTGAAAGTCTGAAAACAACTGAGGACAACTTGAAGGTACAAGTGTCTTTCTCGGTCTACCCCTTGCGTATCAATATGCTCAACAAAGAGCTGCATTCAAAAATAGATACGTTATTGAGTACAGGTCAAATAAAGAGTGAACTTGTTTCTTAAAGGAGAATTCTAACATAATCAAGGTTAGTGTTGATAAAAATGAAATAAATGAAGAAAAGATACAGTTTTAAAGATAAAATGACCAGTGCTGGAAAAGAAAGCAAAGCATAGTTTAAATCAATGTGCTCCATCACCGAAAAAGGACGTTAGTAAGAAACTTGGCTTGTTACATACTTTAAATTCTCTGTTTACATTCAGAACTATATGGTTTTAAAATATTGTGGTTTCTTCTGAGTAAGTGTTTCTCAAATCTAAGTGTTCCTTTAGTTCATACACAGAAACCTTTTTAAATTTTTTTTTCCCAAATGTTAACCATCCAGATGTAGAATCATGTGGTGAGTCCTCAAATACTTACCCTTCAGATTCAATCAGCAGCATCATTTTACCAGCCTGTTTCATCCACCTAATTCCAGACATCACTTCTAAATACTTCATTATAAATTTCTAATTATATAAAGACCAATAGTCTTTTAAAAAATATAAAACACCTGTAATCCCAGCACTTTGGGAGGCTGAGGTAGGTGCATTAGCTGAGGTCAGGAGTTCGAGATCAGCCTGGCCAACATGGAGAAATCCCGTCTCCACTAAAAATACAAAACTTAGCCGGGCGTGGTGGCACACCCCTATAGTCCCAGCTACTCGGGAGGCTGAGGCAGGAGAATCGCTTGAACCCAGGAGGTGGAGGTTGCAGTGAGCTGAGATCACACCACTGCACACCAGCCTGAGCAACAAAGCAAGACTCCATCTCAAAAAAAAAAAAAAAAAAGAAAAGATATATGAGCAACAATTACTGGGGAAACTTTTCAAACAAAGATTTCAGAGAGTTGGTCATGTTTCTTATAAATTCTTAGTGGAAATCCCAGAAGCTCTTTTCCAGAATTGTTTTCTACTCTGAGCACCTACTCTGGGTGGTCTTTACTTGCCTCGAGTTCCTTTATCTTAAGGATGATTCAAGAGAATCCCTGACCCCCAAACCTAGTATCTGCAATTCTGAGAGGTGGCGATCTTTAACCAATCATCTGTTTATCAAGTTTTGAGCAAAAGTATTTTGAATGGACATGAGAATTAGGCAGTAAAATAATGTAGACTGAACAAAAAATGCTTGGGGGAGAAAAAAGCCGGAGAATGAGTTGTGTGGCTATCACTGGAAGGAAAGAAAGGGTCCAATGTATAGATCTGATTCATCTCCAAATATTTTCCCACTAAAGACTGTGGAAGTAAATATATTGATGGACTCTGTAATCACTGATTTAAAACGTGTGATTTATAATTACAAGTTTCAGGTGATTTCTGAGAATGCTTTTTCTCTTCTGAGTGTACCAAAAAGAACCCCACAAAATTACAAGTACTAATATGTTTTCTCTTTGAACCTTGTCTCAATGGTGTTCAAAAACTTTGATGCAATTAATCAATTCATAAAACACCTTGTTATCAAGTTTAATTAGCCTTCACAAAACATTCATTCTTCCCGAACATTCTCCTTTAATCTTTCGTTAATGGTAGAGTGCTAAATGTTTCCCTTTTTTGCTATTATTGTTTATTTAATAAAACTTTTGATATAGACCTCTCCTTTTCTGGGTCATGCAAATTGATGTTTTAGTGATAGCATTTGATCTTTCTAGGAGGCTTGATGTACTTGATAAGGTTTCAACTTGTTAGTGAAAGTGAGATTTCAGTTATATTAGGCAGAGCTTTGAAATGGGGTTTTCTTTCTTCATAACTTTCCTGAAAAGGTGACTTTTCATGCAGCCAAACAGAGAAAGTTTTATTAACTAAAGAGAGAATTAATGGCACCAAGTAAAGTAACTCAGCTGGAAAGGTTTTGTTTGTTTTCTTTCTTGGTTGTGTGTGGTTTATTTAAACATCTACTATTTTTTTAAACATCTACTATTTAGATTTTTTTTAAACATCTACTATTTCTTCATAAGGATGCTGTATATCAAAACCTCCAAAAAGAGGTCAGAATAGCCAGTCTAAGTAATCAGGACCTGTTGGCCCAGTATTTAGCTAAATAAATAAGAATGTAAGTGTACTCCTGGCTCAGAAGCTGGCCAGCAAATTTGCTAAGTGATTGATTTGATGCTAATTTTCTGCATGGACTTCTCATTTCCTTCAGGGCCTGTCCTATGGGAGGAAATAACTTCAGCCAAGCTGACTGAGCCCTATTTTAGGTTTCACTTTGAGCTTTGAATGTTTGGAAAACTCCCTTTCCCAGCAGGACTACATCTCCAAAGGATTTCCATTTATGATGACCCAAAGAATGCAACTTGCTCTAAAAAGACTGCAGAAGTTCCCTATGTCCAAATCCCAGTACATTCCGAGGACAGAACTGAAATCAACATATGCATGGCAGGCACTACGATTTTGCTCACGCTAATTCTGTGTCTCTTTGCATCAGTACTGACTGTTGGAGCAGGTCTACGCTGAGAGCCAGGGCTGTGTTTCTTCCCTAGTCCTACGTAGGCATTGTCATATTTTAATTTCAGAATAACCACCTTCTTTGTCTTAGTGCATTCAGGAATTAAGGAGAAGAATAGAGATTTTTCATTGCAATACACAATTTATGGGATGATTGAAGGAAATAGAGAACCATGACACATAAAAATGTGTGATAGGATCACAGAAAGAGCACTTAACTGCAGGCTATAGTCTTGAGCCAGAAATTGTCTCTCCACTACCTCTGGGCAAGTTGCTTCATCTCTCTAGGCCATTTGTGGAATGGGAGCCTTAAACTCCTACAATTTTCTAGTAAGAATAAAAGCAACTTTGTTTTGAAATCATTCTAACTCAACAGAAGTTGAAGTTATGCTATCACGTTGGAATCTCTAGTTATAGACTAATTATTTTCAATATTTATTACCCAGGACCCCAAATTACGTGAACTTTTGGATGTGGGGAACATCGGGCGCCTGGAGCAGCGCATGATCACAGTGGTGTATGGGCCTGACCTCGTGAACATCTCCCATTTGAATCTCGTGGCTTTCCAAGAAGAAGTGGCCAAGGTATGGTGGATGGAAATTGCTAAAGCTTATCATCATGATCTGAATCCTTGAGCTATCATACTAATGCCTGCAAAAGACTGAATTTTTGTCATATTTAGCATGTGTTAAAATTTCACCTAAAAATAATTCAGCTGCCAAGTATAAGTGCAATTAAAATACTTCTAAATAATGGCATCAACTTAAGAATTATGGAGATTTTTTTCATAAAGAATAAGCCATTTGGCCGGGCACGGTGGCTCATGCCTATAATCCCAGCACTTTGGGAGGCCGAGGCGGACAGATCACTTGAGGTCAGGAGTTTGAGATGAGCCTGGCCAACATGGTGAATCCCTGTCTCTACTAAAAATACAAAATTAGCTGGGTGTGGTGGCGGGCACCTCTAATCCCAGCTAATTGGGAGGCTAAGGCAGGAGAATCGCTTGAACCCAGGAGGTGGAGGTTGCAGTGAGCCAAGATTTGCCACTGCACTCCAGCCTGGGTGACAGAGTGAGACTGTATCTCAAAAAAAAAAAATAAATAAATAAAGAGAATAAGGCATTTGATATAGTTTCTTTGCATAACAAAATACAAATAAAACCACATTCTATTTCATCTAAACACTTTCTCCCAAGTCATTCTCTCTTAGCCTCATCCCTATGCCACTTCTAAGTCCGTGTCATTTCCAGCTCTCTCCTAGGGGACAGACATCTTCAGCCCTCTTTAAACTTCTTAATCCCTGGGCAGCAACTAGCCCACCATAATCCATGTAGTAGTTACTCAGTTAATATGTAGACTAATGAAAAACTAACAGTTTAAAATAAAAATTTTAGATAATAATGAAAATAATATTAAGTAAGAACAAATAATATTTATTCAATTACGGATTAGAAAGATGAATTAGATATGGCCCACCCACTGAGGAGCTGCCATTTCACTAGGAGCAAGCCTTTCAGATATTTACAAAAATAGCTAGAAAACAGGTATAATGTAGCAAACAAGAAGCTGTGAACATCTAGGACCCCTGGATTCAAGTGCAATGCTTTCTCTAGAAACGTCCAATTGTCATTGAAAGAATACTGAAATGAACATATTTAAAGAAGAGCTTTCTTTTTCCATTTTTATAGTTTATAAAATACTAGTGATAGTCCTTCTCCTTCATATAACTTCCTTCAAGAGTTGAGAATATGAATCTAAGAAAACTTTGAGTTCTGCATATAATATATGTGCCTTACAGAGCTTCTCATGTCATGCATCACAACTACAGGGTCACTTCATGTCAGTGTGCATTGTCTAAGTATTGTGATCTACAATTTTTTAACCCTCAGTGCTCTGGTGATTTTCTGAGCTACACCAGATGTGTTGGCCTGGTTCCTTCCTTCCTTTCTTTCTTTTCTTTCTTTTCTTTCTTTTCTTTCTTTCTTTCTTTCTTTCTTTCTTTCTTTCTTTCTTTCTTTCTTTCTTTCTTTCTCTCTCTCTTTCTTTTCTTTCTTTCTTTCTCTTTCCTTTCTTTCCTCTCTTCTTTCCTTTCTTTCTCTCTTTCTTTTCTTTCTTTCTTCTTTCTTTCTTTCTTTCTTTCTTTCTTTCTTTCTTTCTTTCTTTCTCTTTCTTCTTTCCTTTCTTTCCTCTCTTCTTTCCTTTCTTTCCTTTCTTTCTTTTTCTCTCTCTCTCTTTCTTGTTTTTTTTTTTGATGGAGTCTCACTCTGTCGCCAGGTTGGAGTGCAGGTAGTGGCTCCTGCACTCCACTTGGCTCACTTCAACCTCTGCCTCCTGGGTTCAAGCCATTCTCCTGCCTCAGCCTGCCGAATAGCTGGGACTACAGGCGCATGCCACCATGCCCAGCTAATTTTTGTGTTTTTAGTAGAGACGGGGTTTCACCATATTGACCAGGATGGTCTTGATTGTCCTGGTTTCTGTGTCATTAGTGATTATTGGCAGGGATTTATTTCTAACACTTATGTAATATTGACTTTAATTCTTATAATGGGATGCATAAAATGCCAACCAGTTTTAATATTCTAATGTCTTTAGAAACTACTCTTTCCAAGTATGTTGTAAACAGAATCTACTTTCTCTCTTTATAAGCCAAGTTACCCATTTATTTCTATAGTATCATTTATACTTGGAGAGATTTCAGTTCAATGAACATTGTCTGTGTGACATATACTTTATTTTGCTGTATATGAATGGATAGTTGGATGGATAAATTAATACAGAAAAAACAGATTCTAAGTGTTTGCAAAATATTTTTAAAATATGTTTCCCCAAATGAACTATATTCCTTTTATAAAAAGTGACCAATTTATGGGATGCACTAAATCTCAATTAAAAACATGCAATAAATGGCAGTGGCTTTCAGGGAAGCTTTTGCTAAGAGTAAATATATTTATATTACACATCAATCTGCATATCTTAAGTTGCATTAAGCCTTTGTGCAGTCCTATCTAAAATATATTTAATTTCCTCTTCTCTGTGGGTTACTAGCCACTAATTTTCCTTAGGGATTTTTATCTCCAATCCCTGTAATATTCCCTCTCAGGAGTGCATCTGTAGAGATTTTCCCAGGGGCTACTTGATGTTCCCAGTATAATTAATGAAGCTATGGAGAATATTTTGCCTTCCCTGGCTGTGATGTTCTATAGAGTATTTTCCCCCACACTGAAAGTGCTCAGCCAGAAACTTAAGATTTGCAAGTACCACTGTTACCTTGGAGCATCACGTATCACAGTCACACAGGGAGCCTGTTAAAACACAGATTGTTGGGCCCCAGCCCCAGCAGGTCTGGGATGGAGCCTGAGCATCTTCATTTCTAACTGGTCCCAGGTGATGCTAATGCTGCTGGTCCAGGCACCACACTTTGACAATCTCTTCCTTAGAGAAGCTTGGGCACAGTGTTGCCAGATCTTGAATTTTCTTCTAAAAGGAGCTGCAAAATCCATGAAAGGTGTTAAATATTGGCAACAGTTGTTTAAAAACACCATGTGAACCAAAAAAACATTAACTATGGTCTGAGTAAGACTTGGGAGCTTCCATTTGGCAGCTTTTTGGTCTAGATTCACATTAAGTAAGAAAAACATTGTGCTAAATAAAACCTCAGGTCCTGACCACTGAATACAATGGGGGAAGCACGTAACATTATCTTGCAGAGCAGAATCAGCACTCTCCACCACATTTGTTCATTCTCTAACTTCCAAACCATTCCTAGAGCCCTCTGGGTGCCTAAGAAATGTGACCTTTTAGCACAGCATTTTTCAGTAGACAGAGAACCATCTGCCCCCTTAATGGTCATTGTGGAAATTTTTCAGAAGTTTTATAATAGGCCACTTTTTTGTGACTTAGATTGGATCCTATTCTTAACCACAGCATCTCTCATCCCCTATAAAGGAAAGAGAGACAGAATAATATAAAAAGAAAATCTTTTGGATGTCTCCAGGTTCCATTTTTAAACATGTAACTTGAAAATTAGAGAATAAGGGAGACAAATCATGCCTTTGGGCCAAATTTAAAAGTCAAGAAGAACACAATCACTACACAATGTCCTTACAACACTCAACCCATTAATTCAACAAATGAAAACCAAGCAAATGAGAAATTACTCCTGGAGGAGACAAATATGGGTTTTTTTTGCTTTTTTTTTTTTTTTTTTTTTTTTTTTTTTTTGCCTGCTGAAAAAGGTAAGACTTTGTTGCAAATAAAATATGTTCCCCTGAAAGGCCATAATTTTGACTCTTTTTGAGAAGGAACTAAGTGGCACAGAACTCATACTCATGAGTTCTGTAATTTGGGCCCCAGGAAGGAACACAGTAAACGGGAGAGAGCACTAGAGAAGATGTCTATAAATGAGAAATGTTAGCAATACTCTTCTGCCAAATGGATATGAGCCTTCAAGCCCGTTGACAGTTTGGGTACATTCTTCATCCATAAAATGAAGAACTTGGATTCGTTCACTCATTTATTCAACAACATTTTGTTAAGCCTTCTGCAATGTGCCAAGTCCTATTCTAGATACTGGAGATCAAGCAGTGAAGAAAACAGATAAAGACCCTTGCCGATGTGGAGCATACATTCTAGTGTGGGAGACACAATAAGTAAAATAAAGAAGTCAGCCACGCAGTGTATTAGGAAGAGAGTGATATTGACAAAAATGAGATAGGGATGGAGAGTGCAGTGGAAAAGGGCATTAAATAGGGTGGTCAGTGTAGCCATCTCTAGGAAGTGACACTTAAGCAAAGACTGGAAGGAGGTGAGGGAATAAGTCAGGAGGATGTCTGGAGAGACAGCACTGCGCTTGCACTACAGCAGGTGCAAAAGCCCTGAGGCAAAAGATAGTCTGGTGTACTTTAGGAACAGCCAAGGGCAAGCGTGACAGCAGCTGGGTAAGCAAGATTGAGGGAAGGTAGTAGCAGAGGGAACTGAGGAGGCAACTGCAACTGATTTTGCTGTAGGATGGCATAGGCTTTTGAAGGACTTTGGCTTTTACTGTGAGTGAGATGGAAGCCCCGAGAGGGTTTCAGCTGAGGACAGATGTGATTTGACTTAACATTTAATCCATAATGGACCGCATGGGGGAGGGGAAATAATGGAAGCAAGCAGATTCGTTACCAAACTATTGAAATATTTAGGTGAGTTGCTAATGACTTAGACCAACGTGGAATGTGGAGGAAATAAAAAGGAATCCAAATTTGCATGTATGTACACACACACACACACACACACACACACACACACACACACACACACATATTATAAAGAAGGAAGTGATGGCATGTGTTTATGGATTTTATGTTGCATGTGAAAGAAAGATGCATGGAATCAAAGACGATGTTAAAGTTCTGGCCCAAGAGGAAAAGATAGAAATATCATTTACTGACATAGGGAAAATATAAAATAGAATATAATTTTTTGTTTAGAAGTATATAGCAGAAGTTCAGTTTTGGTTACGTTCAGTTTGAGATTATTATTAAATACTCAACTGGGTGATTTTGAGTAGGTAGTTGGATATATGAGCCTGGAGGTGAGTGCCAAATATAACACGTAAATTTGGGGGTCATTGGGTATTTGATTGTATTAAAAAGTCATCATACTTTTTAATGAAGCTGGATGAGATCAGCCAGGAAGTGACTGTAGATAGAGATGTCCAAGGGCTGAATCATGGACAGTCCAACATAAAAAGAATCAGAAAAACAGAAGCTGAGAGGAGGCAGCCAGTTAATGCCATGCTCATGGGAACTGAGCCAGATTATTTAATGTTTTACTGAAATGTAGCATACACAGAAAAGTGCACAGTTTCTTACTCCATACCCTGATGGAGTTTTGAAAAAGGAATATATCCACCTAATCAACATCCAGATCAAGAAACAGAGCATAACCAGCACCCTAGATATCCACCCTACTAACACCTCTATATCGGCAGTTAACATGATAGATTAGTCTTACCTGTTTTTAAAATATCTGTAAATGAAATCATACAATAAAGTCTTTTTGGTCTGACTTCTATTATTCAACATTATATTATGAGATTTATGAGATTCTTCTATATTTTCTGTGTAATTGTAGTTTGTCCATTCTCTTTGCTAAGTAGTAGCCAGTAATTTACTTACAGTTCATGGGCATTCTTGTAGTTGTACGTTTAGGGCTGCTACAAATAATGATGCTGCAAACATCTGCCTTTCAGAGAGCTAGATATTGGAGTGTAATGACTGGTCATAGATCTTTGTGTGTACTGCTTTGATAGATACTGTCCTTTTCTCAAACTTGTTGAGCCATTTTGATTTTTTAATATTATTTCACACATAAAAGAAAAATTTATCAGAGGATCTCTGTAGGTTAAATTATTACATTTTGAAGTAGCTGTCATGTCACAGAAGAAATGCGCTCTCTAAAAATATGTTATATAAAGTGAACATTAGTCTTTAATGTTTGTAATTTTAGATTCTTCCCCCTCTGTAGCTGTGAGTATCTTGGAGAGTCTAATTCACTTATTTCAAGGATATGAGTGAGATTTTCTGGAAGTTTTCGTTAACTTCGTCTATATCAGTTTCTTGTGCACAATCTAGATAACACACCAGCTCTCTGAATTTCCTAACTAGCTCTCACATCTCTTTCCTGCTCCCCATTCTTCCTGCCATCTTGTTAAGCCCTTGACAGGTCTCATGGATAGTCATTACCTACCTATTTCCTGAAATTCTCTCACACTTTGCTCTACAAATCTGCCTGCTCATCTGCATAAGAATGGCCTTTTAAAACAACAAACTCATTCCTGATCATATTTTAAATCATTTTCATTCTCTATTACCTGCAAAATGAAGTTTCTGTGCATTTAGTGAACAAACATTTATTGAGGGCCTAGTATGTGCCAAGCACCTCGCTGGGCACTGAGGATTCATCAGTGACCCAACATAGTCCCTACCCTCAGGTACTGATGATCCACCACTTTGACTGTTGCACCATTCTGTTCTAGCAGCTCCTAACTACTTGTGATTCTTCTACCTTTACAATTGTAATATTAATGCCTTTATAATATGGTAGTTTCCTAGACTGCCTTTCTCTCTTTTGTCCACCAAGAAAAGTCCTAGGCCTCCCGAGGGACTCAGCATCAACTCAGTTCATCCATCTCTCGCTCTATCTCATGACTTCCATGCATAGCCCATTGTTCTTTCATCTGTTGTTCTGTGAACCTTGAACATATTTTCAATTACAGTCATTACACTGTAATTATCAATCAGTGTGTCTTATAATCTATCCTGTATTTGCGAGCTGATGAAAGTCAAAAACAGTAGTTTAGTCTGTTTTGTGTTCCCAGGATCTAGCTTAGTGCTTGGCTCAATAAATGCGAGAGGTGTGAGAGAGGAAAGGAAGGGAAAGGAAAGGAAGGAAAGGGGAAGGAGAAGGGAAAGGAAAAGGAAAAGGAAAAGGGGAGGCTTTTGAACTCTTGAAAATAAGTGATAGGTCACGTACAATCTTAGAGTCATAGTGGCTTTTAACACCATGTGCTGCAATCTTTTCATTTAGAGTTGGGAGAAATTAAGGCCCCTTAGCAGATTGGTTGCTTAAGGCTTTTCCTAGAATAATTCTCTCTCCAGCTTGCCAGGATTCTCAGTAGGAGGACCCAGGTGGCATTCATTACGATGGCTTCCATTTTCCTAATCTTTTTTCCCAAAGCTAACCTTATTCCCACTCAGAGTTACTGTGACTGTCACTTCCCTACCCAGCAGTTACTCCACGCTTTCTTAAGCAAATGAAAAATAGCTTCTATTTACCAAATAGTTGACACCTTTCAGGATAAGGAAATGAGAGAAGATGTCACGGAGAGGGGAATTTCTTTTAAGCAAAAGAAATTATAGTCTATGGGATAAAGGTGGGAAATAGAAAAGAAAGAGGGACAAGTGAAGGGTTCTGCTAAGGCCACCTCCGGGCCATTCATCAAAAACTTCAGGAATTTTCTTAGAGTTGCCCTAAAATAATAGTATTAGCTATTTAAAAGTGACCTCAAGAGACATGAGGTTCTTATATTTATTTTTATTCTGGGAACATATGCATTGAGGTAAGAATTTTGAAACACTTGCGTATATTCTGTACAAAATGTGTGCTTTATCTCGTTTCTATTTTGAATTTCAAACAAATTTATGATGAGTAAGCAGTAGCTGTAAGTTTGACTTTAAATGAAAAATGATTAAGAAAAAAGAAAAGGTGGTGCCATAAATTGTGTTCAGCAATTTGTTTTGGGACATAATGGAAAACTGTGCATGACTTCCTTGCAGGTAGAATACATGTGCCAAAAAGATCACTGTTTGCAAACATGAAAAGTTAGATCCATGTTATTGTGTTTTGTGAGATCATCATTACCTGCTATTCCTGACCTTATTATATTAAAAAAAAATGCCTGTGTCATCTTAGGCTATTCTTCCACCCAATCATAAAAAGGACCAAATTCTTACTGTGTCAATACATTGCACTATTTGTCTTGGAATTTTATACTGGTAGGTGTCCTTTGTTGGAGAATGAGATTTACTCTACATTCTGCACATTTTGGATATGTGTCAGGCAAATGAAGGATGCACAACTTAAACTTTTATATTGTGAAAACATCGTCTATCTGGAACATTTGTTTAAAAGCTCATAAGTCAAAAGAAAGACATTCGTATTAAAAAGATTTTTATTAAAAAAGGGGCAACTTGGATTTCAGTCTCTCCCTTACACACACAGAAGCAGCAGCAATTGCTATTCTGGTGACTGTGGAAGAAAGCACCCCTGCCTTCTGTCTCCTGGGTGTCTTTTCTGCATTTGCTAGACAAGAACTTTTTTGGAGCCAGAGAGTGCTCAATGGTGCCCACATAAAAACAATTAATGTCAAACTGAAGGGAAAATGTCAACGCTGAGACATAGAAATGACTGTGATTTCAGACTGTGGGTTACTGTTAGTACAAGCCCACCTCTCCCCTGAAAGAGAAAACAGAAAACTGCATCAGCAATAGCATCTCTTCTTTCCTTCCATCCACTCCATTGCAGAGACAAGCTACTCTTCTGCATACCTCCATCTGCCTACCTTCTGATGCCTGGCAGCTAAGTAAGCCCTGATTGCATTACCGGTGTGCCTAGCCTGGAAGCAAGAACATGAGCACCACAAAAAAAAAAAAAAAATCACCGTGACTTTTTGGAAGGAAGAGGAGTTCTAAGAAAATCTGGCTTCCTTGTTTAAATTTCTCCCTCCACATATAAAATATTGGTGTTGGCAGGGGAATACTGACATACTTTGAGAAAGGCAGGTTGATCTGTTTCACCTACTACCTTGATATTGGTTGTCATCTTTAGTAGTTAAGCCAAATGATGCCCAATGAAAAGCTGGCACTAAGGATTAAAAATACTTTTTGAAAATACCTTGCTAGTAATTTTCCTGATAACTATATTATAATTTTCATTCATTCAACAAATATTTACAGGCATAATCAGCCAATGAAAAGGTGAAATCAGAAGAGGGAAATTAAGGAAGATATTACAAGAAAATATCTGAGAGCTAAACAAAAGTACTGGTCTTAAAGTCTAAATAGCAAGTACAGGAATGGAGTAGATTCAGGTAATGAGTAGGAAACTGGAAGATGACAGATAAATGAAAAAGACTTAATTTTTTTCTCTCCAAAAAAAAGTTAAAGTAGAAGGGTGGGGATAAATGTACCAGAAATGTATTATCCAAATATAAACCATGCTAAAACATGTAAGATTTTCAAAAACTGAAAAAAGAACTTAAAAAGATAAATATATACTTGTTATTAGGAATGTTCCCTTCGGAAAGCCATGTGGGTTATGGTGTTGGAACTGAAACAAATAATCTGATATATTCTAATATATGGCCTAGCAGAAAATTATAGTTGCAATTTCATACTCATGTAAATTTTTATTATATTTGTTTTAAACTTTCAGAATCAATTTATATGCAAATAAAGTCATAATTATGAATGCGGAACAAGATAAAAACTGACCATTTATTTTATTTATTGATTTATTTTTGAGACGGAGTCTCGCTCTGTCGCCCAGGCTGGAGTGCAGTGGCGCCATCTCGGCTCACTGCAAGCTCTGCCTCCTGGGCTCACCCGCCATTCTCCTGCCTCAGCCTCCCGAGTAGCTGGGACTACAGGCACCCGCCACCATGCCCGGCTAATTTTTGTATTTTTAGTAGAGACGGGGTTTCACCATGTTAGCCAAGATGGTCTCGATCTCCTGACCTCACAATCCGCCCACCTCGGCCTCCCAAAGTGCTGGGATTACAGGCGTGAGCCACCGCACCCAGCCAAAAACTGACAATTTAAAAGTGAGTTTAAGCTAACGAGAGTTGGAAGTAAAAGGAATGGCAGGTAAATGTCCTCCTATCATAAAGGAGCCAAGGGATACTATTTTTAATGAGTGGATCAAGAGAGTTTGAGTATGTTGCTTGAGATTGTAGAGGTGACAGGGAGGAAAGGGCACAAGTGATAGAACTCTATCACAAGCAAGGAGAAAGGGCAGGTGAGAGATGGAATCAGAGATTTAAAGCCTCCTCAATCAGAGCAGGATATTATAGTCAAATTCTAAAATCAGTCAAGGAAAAACATTATACACGCACACACGCACACACACATGAAAAAAGCATTACACACCCATATATATAAATAGAAATGTGTAAGTAAACCCCAGAAATTTAAGAATAGAAATGCTGAAAATAGTTGTCAAGAAACAGAACTAGGACGTAGAAGTGATCATTGCCTTTCCAACCCCTCTGAACAACTTTTAAGAAACTCTGTCTCTGTTTCATCGATAAATAATAGTTTTTTAGGTTACTATCATTTAACAAGCATATATTACACCTGTCACTGGTCTAACATGAATTATCCCAATTCTCTCAAAAGCCCTATGAAATAAATTCTATTATTGCTTCCATTTTATAAGATATATGAATATTGGAGGACAAATTTAAAAAGACTTGTCCAACATGATTCTGTCTTTGCATTTGGCCTGGAGTAACAGAAAACCAAATCAAACAATAGCTGAGACAAATTAAGGATTTTTAATTTGTGTTTTGTTCAGTTTTTCTTTTCTTTTCTTTTTTTCTCATGTAGCCGGAACCCTGAAGGTAGTGTTGTGGGTGCCACTGCCTGGGGTGGGCATTGTGGGTGGTAAGAGAATTTACCAAGACAGTGATAGGTAAAGAAAGGCAGATTTATTAGAGAAAGTTTGAAGATATGTTGCAAAGGTGCAGTGGGCAGCACAGCAGAGAAGGGGCTGTCTGCAAAGAGGCAGGGATTGGAGGGAAGTTTCATAGGGTCATGATGGAGGGGTTATGTGCAGAATGAGGTCATGCTTCTGGAGTTACTGGGACTACGTGCTGAAGGAGCTATTTGGGAACAGAGTGTTGTGCCAGCGGGTTGTCTGTGATTAGCCATCTCAGATTGTTCTCCCCAACCTAGGGCCCTTTCCTCATTGTTGCTTACTTATCTTATTAGGACTCCACAGGTGGTTTCTGGCACTGATTCAGGAGCTCAGGGATAACAAGGCTGAGTGAGGCCCCTATGATTCTCGTGGCCTTTTTCTCATAGATCGAGATGCCTCTGTAGCTCTAGCCTTTCCATTTACATTCCCTACAGTAAAAGGAAAAGAGATCTATATCAGGAAACACATTTTCCCAGAACCCTCCAGCAGGCATCTGCTTACATGTGATTTGCCATGTGGCACATGTTGGTCACCCAGCTGCTAAGGACATTGGAAAATGGATATTTTTTTTTCAGTTGAACATATTATTGGCCTGAGCACTGTTGGGCCTCTGTTAGGCAAGAAGGATAAAATAGATATGAGATAGCATTTGGCAGAAGGTCCCAGCTAGAAAATGGTAGAATTGTGTTCTGAAATCCAATAAATTATAACCATGATAAGCTAGAACAAGGATCTGCAATATGAAAGTCAGGAAGAGCCATTAAATAAACTGATATCAATATTTTACTTTTAAATTAGAAGACAAGAAAAAAAAAAAAAACTGTGTTTAAGAGTCACTATTCCAAGACCTTCACAGGCAGTGAGAATGGTCAAAGATGGAACAATCAAGGCCAAAGACAAAGAATCGTTCTTATAGCAGAGGAAGAACTAACGGGATTGAGTTACCAAGGGCAAAATACCCTCTTCATTTGAAGAGAAGAATCTAGCTTGCAAAAAGGTTTAAAATAAAGTTGGAAGGTATAATTAAGGTAATTTAAAACAAATTTATTTCCAAATGAGAAAATTATATTTCAGCAGAATTCTGTCATTAAATTATAAGTTAATGAGGAACTACCTGTGCCTCGTTCACTAATCAGTTTTCAAGTAATGCAGTTTTAAGATTGTCGAACTGCTTTCATAATAAGCAGATAAGCAGCATGCTTAATGCCCAAGAATTGCGATTGCTCCCCTTTTTCTGTTTCACATACATCTTACTAAGGAAATTAGCAGTGCTTTTTTCTTTTAAAATCCTTTTTTATGTGATCTCTTCAAATGGAATTATTTTTGTAATGAACAACGATATCAATTATAATTACAGACCCCGCTTACATTTATTGTCTATGGTACACAGCACCGAGGCAGATACAACCAAAGTAATAATTAACACTGAGACTGCTAGGATTCAAAGGCATAATAGCAAGTGTTTTCATAAGAATGACATGAGACTGTTGGAAGAATCATTTCAGGAATGTGAGGGATTGACATGAAATCCACAAAAATGAAACTTTGGGGGTTCTGTATATGAGCACACAATTAGCATTTTCTCAGTTGTACAAATGAATAATGACTCAGGAAACTAGGAGGAGGGAAGGGAGGAGGTCTCCCCAGTGGATGCTAAGAATACACCTGAGACTCCCAGTGATACAGCTGCAGTCGTCTCATTGTGAAAACTTCAACAGAAACAAACATCTCTCCGTTCTTCTACTCTGTGCCATGGACGTTGCTCTTTGGGGGAGTTTTAATTTTTCCCGTGGAAGAATTTTCTTTAAGTTCATTTTCATTTCATTTCACCACGTTAAACTTTTCCCATTTGGCAGAGGAATGTCAAGAAGACTGGGACATACTAGAACTGGCAGCCTGAACTCTTCCTTAGAGTATCAGGATACCATTTAGAAGAATATTGCTTCACTTACCTGAAAAAAAGATACTTGAACAACAGTTCTTCAGAATACAGCCCAAAACATCAACCAAAGCATAATAAGTATGTCTACATAGCCAACATAGATGCCCAAACCCTTACACAAAAGCTTCTGTACTTTATTAATTGGAGAGCTTGCTAGTCCCATGTTATATCCAGGACTCCTAATGTTTGTAAACTATTCCAGTATAGTTCACATTACAACAGAAATGCATAAAGCCAGTATTACAAGCCCTCTAGCCAAGAATGGTTATTGAAACTTATAACAATAGAGGAGATATAAAAATTAATTTCAAAAGACATAAATCATAAAGCATGGAAGTCAGTCTCTTTCATTTACACATTCACTTATGCAGTCAACTCAGTGATTATGAATCTATTACCTATTTTATAAAAAAGAATGCGAGGCAGAACTATGAGATCCCACATAAGTTATGAAACAACACACACCCTTTCCTTCCGTCTGCTTTCCCACAGGACTCCTAGGTAATGGGCATATGCCATGTTTGCTATACTCTCCCCTCTTCTGGTCATTGCTTCCTTCCCAGATCCAATTACTTGGTTGTCGTGGACACTGCTAGGTTCTTACCTGATTGATTGTTCAAGAGGTAGACCAATCAGACCTTTCCCAGCATTCTTGTTACTGAAAATGGAGGAATTAGCCAGACCTTCTCTGGTGGTGAAAGATACCATATGTGACAACTCTTGGTGAAGTTGGTGGCCATGGGGAAGAACCCGTCAGTAAGGAAAAGAAAAATGCCCTCAGGAAGAGAGCAGAGTAATAGCAATCAAGAAAGCCCTTTTGCATTCAGTCTCCAAATTCCTGATGATCATGTATTTATTATAAATGCATTTTTTGGCTGCAGTTTGTCCAGTTTTTCCTTCAATTACAGGAAACGACCCATTGCACTTGATACTTTCTCCTATTTCTTAAGTTAGTTTGAGTTGTGCTTTTGTCAGATGTAGCTTAAAGACATTTGAATAACATGATCTGAAAATAATTATGCATCTTTCCTTGATTTGAGTAATATTATTATGCTAGTTGTCCTAATCATGACAATATTGAGTCCTAATATGTTTCCTAGCTTTTTGTTAGTTGGGTTTTTTTGTAATTATGTATGATTGGCAATCATTTCTCTTTTGGTATAAGATAAAAACGAGAGCACTTTGACTATGATATAAGATCCACAGAGAAACTATACCAGAATTTTTTCCAAAATTCTAGATGTTCAGTATAGTATCAAAAGTGCAGTCAGTTATCAGATAGTCCTTTCTGATTTTAACAAAAGGCTTTCCAGCTCCTGTACCATCTTTCACCATGAAAAGATTCTTCACTGCGTCATTAAGACATTAAATGCTCAGCAGGATGAATTCTGATGCATGCCAGTAGTGACAGAAATGTGTTCAGCCAGGTGAGGCAACACTGACTGAATCACACAATGTTCCTCCTTACTCACATCACACACTGCCACCCCCTTATGAGTAGAGGTAATCAGAATGACACCATTATCAATGACAGCAATAGGAGTTTGCCAATAAATAAAAAACAAATATAAAATATTAAAAAATAGGACCTTTACATGTCTCACCAATATTAAAATATCTTGTTTAAAATTATTATATGTCCCAGTAACTTTTAAATATTAATTCAATAGAGGACGAGATAAATAGTGAAACACAGAGAATTTTTAGGGCAATGAAACTACTCTGTGTAGTTAAATCTCCCCAACTCTTTCTAATGCTGTACCTTTTTCTGGCGTGAAACTAGCCTCTGGTAAACATACAAAACTGTATCTTGCCCTCAGTTATAGATACTTTTACCAATGCAGAAAGTTGGCATGGAGCTAGAAATGTCTAAAGCTTGGCCATGAGCCTACAAAATATTATACCAGAAACATATTTTTGAAACCAGTGGTTATTATTCTTAGTTTAAAATTATCTATTTTAAGGAAAATTGATTTTTAATTTGTTAGATAGTTACTGTGAAATGCTCTTCTGTGTCGGCATAAAGCTTGGTGAGCAATAATTTTGCTTCTCTCTTGCAGCTATTCTGTACTGTCTTTTTAAGTCCTCCTCCAACATATAGAGTTCAAGGTCTCAGTATTTCTCACCTGGACTACTGGACTATTACAGCTTCCTAACTGAGTTACCCTTCTTTGGATTCTCAGCCTCAAATCCATCCTTGACCTGGCTGCCAGATAATCTGTCTGATATGCAGCCTAGCCCTGGCATCACATTTTTTACTAATTTATCTCCAGACACCTAAATGCTCTTTATCCTCTGACCACAACTCTAGTTTGTTGTCGCAACCCCCTCCCTCTTTTCTAATTCCTATTAGACTACTTTTTGTTTGCTCTAACTCCTGCCATGTTAGCTCACCTCTAGTTCTTTTCCCAGTTTTCTCTGCTCGGGATTCCCTCTTTTCTTCCCCATCACTCTATGTTCCCTGCTCCTCCAGTTCCATCTTGAATGTTACTGTACACATGACAGCGTATTATCGGTGCCTTAAGTCAGGAAGCAAAAAAAAGACAAATCAAACAAAAGTAGAAACAACAAAAAAACAGGTGGCAAAGCAATTAAACTAAAAGACATTATTTCACTTTGGGAGGCTGAGGCGGGTGGATCACGAGGTCGGGAGATCGAGACCATCCTGGCTAACATGGTGAAACCCCGTCTCTACTAAAAATACAAAAAATAGCCCTCTCCCTCTCCCTCTCCCTCTCCCTCTCCCTCTTTCTCCCTCTCCCTCTCCCCATGGTCTCCCTCTCCCTCTCTTTCCACGGTCTCCCTCTGATGCCGAGCCAAAGCTGGACTGTACTGCCGCCATCTCGGCTCACTGCAACCTCCCTGCCTGATTCTCCTGCCTCAGCCTGCCCAGTGCCTGCGATTGCAGGCGCGCGCCGCCACGCCTGACTGGTTTTCGTATTTTTTTGGTGGAGACGGGGTTTCGCTGTGTTGGCCGGGCTGGTCTCCAGCTCCTAGCCGCGAGTGATCTGCCAGCCTCGGCATCCTGAGGTGCCGGGATTGCAGACGGAGTCTGGTTCACTCAGTGCTCAATGGTGCCCAGGCTGGAGTGCAGTGGCGTGATCTCGGCTCGCTACAACATCCACCTCCCAGCCGCCTGCCTTGGCCTCCCAAAGTGCCGAGATTGCAGCCTCTGCCCGGCCACCACCCCGTCTGGGAAGTGAGGAGCGTCTCTGCCTGGCCGCCCATCGTCTGGGACATGAGGAGCCCCTCTGCCTGGCTGCCCAGTCTGGAAAGTGAGGAGCGTCTCTGCCCGGCCGCCATCCCATCTAGGAAGTGAGGAGCGCCTCTTCCCGGCCGCCATCCCATCTAGGAAGTGAGGAGCGTCTCTGCCCGGCCACCCATCGTCTGAGATGTGGGGAGCGCCTCTGCCCCGCCGCCCCATCTGGGATGTGAGGAGCGCCTCTGCCCAGCCGCGACCCCGTCTGGGAGGTGAGGAGCGTCTCTGCCCGGCCGCCCCGTCTGAGAAGTGAGGAGACCCTCCGCCCGGCAGCCGCCCCGTCTGAGAAGTGAGGAGCCCCTCCGCCTGGCAGCTGCCCTGTCTGAGAAGTGAGGAGCCCCTCTGCCCGGCAGCCAACCTGTCTGGGAAGTGAGGAGCGTCTCCGCCCGGCAGCCGCCCCGTCCGGGAGGGAGGTGGGGGGGTCAGCCCCCCGCCCTGCCAGCCGCCCCGCCCGGGAGGTGAGGGGCGCCTCTGCCCGGCCGCCCCTACTGGGAAGTGAGGGGCCCCTCTGCTCGGCCACCACCCCGTCTGGGAGGTGTACCCAACAGCTCATTGAGAACGGGCCAGGATGACAATGGCGGTTTTGTGGAATAGAAAGGGGGGAAAGGTGGGGAAAAGATTGAGAAATCAGATGGTTGCCCTGTCTGTGTAGAAAGAGGTAGACATGGGAGACTTTTCATTTTGTTCTGTACTAAGAAAAATTCTTATCCTGTTGATCTGTAACCTTACCCCCAACCCTGTGCTCTCTGAAACATGTGCTGTGTCCACTCAGGGTTAAATGGATTAAGGGCGGTGCAAGATGTGCTTTGTTAAACAGATGCTTGAAGGCAGCATGCTCGTTAAGAGTCATCACCACTCCCTAATCTCAAGTACCCAGGGACATAAACACTGCAGGGTCCTCTGCCTAGGAAAACCAGAGACCTTTGTTCACTTGTTTATCTGCTGACCTTCCCTCCACTATTGTCCTATGACCCTGCCAAATCCCCCTCTGTGAGAAACACCCAAGAATGATCAATAAAAAAAAATAAAAAAAATAAAGACATTATTTCATTGAAGAGGGAGCCAAGTCAACTACAACAATATCAGATGATGACCTAGGTCTTGTGTCATCTTCTCTTGGAGAATTTTGTAGGGGTTTCAGCCCAGAATGTGTTGTGTGTTTCAAATAATCACGCAGAATGGAACTTCTATATTTTTTTGTAGACTTGCTCTTTTCCATTATCTTGGAAGCCTAGTGAGATCATTGCTTTCTGGTATGAGGTAGGGATTATGATTAGGAGATTAGTGAGATATTGACAGTGTTGGGAGAAGGGAGAATATTGCATATTATGTGGCCTTGTGACTACATGGTATGGAGAATTTCTAGAACTGTAGTTAACAGTTAAAGATACCAGATATAGCTGCTTTGGCATGAGTAGTAGAGCAGGAAGATTATGTTTGCATGTTCTGCTGGAAACATATTTGATCATATTTTAAATTTTTAATGACTCTTTATCTGTTTATAATTCAAGGAAATAGTAAAATGTGCTTAGTTATTGAAGGGAAACAGAGCAATTTTCTATTTATACAAATTTTAAAAAGCAGAAAAACCTTTATGTACAAAGAACATCTCCTTTGGAAAAGAGTAGTCTCTCAGGGACTTGAATTTACTTATGTCATTTTTACCCAAAAAAGGGATAATAATACAAAACAAAACAAAAAACCTTTGGCATGCACATTGAACTAATGTGTCTTCCTGGAAGCCAAGCTAAAAGCATGTGTCTAATGACTGTGCAGTATTTAAGCTAATGCAAGTGTTATTTACATTTTTCAGGAATGGACAAATGAGGTTTTCAGTTTGGCAACAAACCTGCTGGCCCAAAACATGTCCAGGGATGCATTTCTGGAAAAAGCGTAAGTCACTCTAATTTTATTGCTAAGGGCGTTGCTTCTTCTGAGTCAGTTTCCTTTCTCCTTTGTGAGTCTTCCGTTTATGCCATACTGACTTCTCACATTGATAAACACAAATTTTCCTTTGGGATTTATTAGAGAACTGATACCTCCCCTGTTCAGAATTGGAAGACTTCCAAGAAAGATTGCTCTTTCCTCCAAGCTGCACATCTGTGTTACACCTGGGCTAAGTTCGCATGAATGTCAGTGCTTTTGACACACAACAAAGAGACACTTCCAAATCCTGGCAGCTGTGCTCAGAACTAAAAATTATTAATTTCAGATAATCCTCTGCTTCTACATCTGTGTGTGTCCTCTCAATTATTAATCTGAGGAACAGCATATGTTCCTCATTTCTGTAGAGTTATAGATAGATGCTACAATACCTTTCCTGACTACTTAAATCAATAGGCTGACATCCTGATTCCATCCCATGTAGATGATCCCAGCAAGTATTAGTAAGAAAAGAGAAAGGATCTAAAGGAAAGAGAAGAAGGAAAATAAGGAAAGAAAAGCAAAACAAATTGCCAGATCACTCTGGAATTGCCACAGCCCTTCTAAAAATTGTTTGACCAAGGAAAATAATGACTTAGGCAAGATGAGCAGCAAGGAAAGCTGGTTGTGTTCATTTTGGAAGCTGTGGTTGGTCAGGAGGTTAGGAAGTCTTTAAATCAAAACCACAAGTAGAAACATTAATAGGTGGTCCTCTATTTTGTTTAACAGAGTTCTGTCTTCCCTCTTCTTATGTAAGACATACCCATCATTCCAGACCTAATACCTCAGCCACATTCCTTTATTTTACTCTTCTATGAATTCCTTTTGCTTTTAGTCAATACCTCAGGTCTTCATTTAAGGGCTTTTTTATGGGATCGCCTCCTCTCCTGAGTTTGTTAACTTAAGGACTCTTCCTTCATGCCTCCACCTCTTCCCTTCCTTTCTTCCTCTATGTTTTTACCTTGTCTTTGATTTTATCATCCTTCTTCTAGAATATGTTTTCCAGACAATGTTTCTAGAACATTCATTCTTCCATGAAATGTTAGTGAAAGGGGACACAGAGGTAAATAACATGTTTTATCTGAAACATAGCATGTTATTGCTAGTTGGCTAATCAATCTCTACTACAAATGTCTATTCCAGAAAGATGTCTCCCTATGAATAGCTACTATGGACATGTCTTTTAGTGAACATATTGTTAATATTTTTGTTGCACACATCTAGCTTTGGGATTGCTGGGCCTTAGCGTGTGCAGCTTCCTGAAGTAGAATTCCCAATGTATGCATCCATCAACAGTGACCTAGAGTTCTCATTCT
Source organism: Homo sapiens (assembly GCF_000001405.40). Classification (NCBI taxonomy): domain Eukaryota; kingdom Metazoa; phylum Chordata; class Mammalia; order Primates; family Hominidae; genus Homo; species Homo sapiens. Next base: position 8,647,528 of record NC_000020.11, read on the forward strand.
GAGAATGAATATATAAGCAAACAATAAGCAAAATATGGTTAGTTCTCAGAAACATGCTATTGAGTGAAAGAAGCCAAACACAAGAGTATGATTCCTTCATGTAAGGTGCAAAAACAGGCAAAAGTAATCTATGCTATTTGTAGTCAGGATAACAGTTCCCTTTGGCAGGGCGTTTGGGAAGGGCTTCTGGAATGCTGCTAAAGTGACAATGTTCTATTTCTTAATCTGGGTGCCAACTGTGGAGACTTGGGCAGTTTGTGGAAATTCAGCAAAATGTACAAAGGCATGGGCTTTTTTGAGTGTATTTTATTGTTCAAGAAAAAAAAGCTTTTTTAAAAAAATCAAACCCTTGTTTTTCTGCTTCTCCAACAGCTATACTAAACTTAAGCTGCAAGTCACTCCAGAAGGGCGTATTCCTCTCAAAAAGTAAGCTTTGTGAGCATTTCTCATTATTCATTTTATTTTCCTCAAAGATCTGAATCCATGCCATGGCTCTGTTTTGTTTCTCCAGCAGCCTAAGTGGGAGTGTGGAAATGCGTGGTAGCCCTGTCCTCCCTCACACATGTCTCATGTCAGTGCAGCTGCTTTCCTCATAGACGTCTCCCCGGGGCTTCCCTTTCCTCTGGCATTATTTTCAAGAAATACCAAAGCAGGAAGTGGGTGGAGGAAGTGGAGGGACCCTTGCTACTAAGGCCGAAAGGCCATCTGAGATTCAGATCTGTTCTAGGAGTGGAAATTGGCCGACCTCAGTGCCTCTTTCTACCAAGATGGCTGTAGCCCTCAAGCAGGGTTTGCAACCTCAGATGCTAACTGGAGCCAGGCAGGGAATGTAAATGATGAAACAGGTCAGGAGGAGGAGGAAAAACTAAAGAGCAAACCCTGTCTAAAGGAGACAACAGCTCATCTCCACCATATATCCTGTGGGACTGGTGAGCACCTGACACTAGATTGTCTAATGTCTTTATAGAACCCATAAACCTAAATTAGTATATTAAATTGTCCAGTACTTAAGTTCTATTTTTAAATCAAATTAGTAACGAAAAAAAGTCCATCTCTAGGTCATATCCAGCCAAAAGTCTTTAACTTTTGACTTACAAGCTACTAGAAAGCTTCTGCGAATACACAAATTAAGCCAAGCACAGTGGCTCATGCCTGTAATCCCAGCACTTTGAAAGGCCAAGGCAGAAGGATTGCTTAAGGCCAGGATTTTGAGAGCAGCCTAGGCAACATAGTGAGACTCTATCTTTGCAAAAATTTTTAAAAATTAGCCAGGTGTGGTGGCACATGCCTGTAGTTCTAACTACTAGGGAGGCTGAGGTGGGAGGATCACTTGAGCATGGGAAGTGGAGACTGCAGTAAGCTGGGATCATGCCACTGCACTCCAGCCTGGGCAACAATGTGAGACCCTGTCTCTAAAAAAAAAAAAAGAAAGAAAGAAAGAAAAGAAAAGAAATTAATTTAAAAGTAAACAAATTAAAAATTAAATTTATTAATAATGCAATGTACACCTTGGGGCAATGGGTAGTAGCAGCAAGGGGACAGAATTAATAAGGATGTTTATTTTAGTGCTTAATATTAGAGATTATTTAATGCAATATTTTTTAATTGGGTCAGCACCATAATCCTAAAATACTGATTTTATACTAGACACCTTAATTTTAAAAGCACGCAGTTGATCTTTCAGAAGACAGATGCAAATGCATGGAGGAATGGTTATCTTTTAGTTCTTTAAATATGAATAATAAATAGATTTGACTGAATGGAATATTTTGAGTTGGCATCATCTGTTAGTGCTGTGATCCATGTGCCATTTAAACCTCTCTCCTTTGTTGTGTTCACTTCACAGCATATATCGCTTGTTTTCAGCAGATCGGAAGCGAGTTGAAACTGCTTTAGAGGCTTGTAGTCTTCCATCTTCAAGGGTGAGCATGTGTGTTATGCTATAGTTTGAATGTTCAGCCCCTCCAAAACTCATGTTGAAACTTAATCCCCAATATGACAGTTTTGAGAGGTAGGGCCTTTAAGAGGAAATTAAGAGCTTCCATGATTAATGGGTTAATGAATTAATGGATTATCATCGGAGAGGAACTGGTGGCTTTATAAGAAGAGAAAAACAGACCTGAGCTAGCATGTTCTTCCCCCTCACCATCTGATTCCCTGTGCCACCTCTGCCAAAGTGGAGAGTCCCCACTAGCAAGAAGACTTTTGCCAGATGTGCCCTCTCCACCTTGGACTTCCCAGCCTTTGTAACTGTAGGAAATACATTTTGATTCCTATATATTATACAGTTTCAAGTATTCTGCTATATGCATCAGAAAACAGAGTAAGACTGAAAATTGGTACCAAGAGGTGGGGTTTTTGCTGATAACAAATATCTGAAAATGTAGAAGCAGCTTTGGAACTGGGTAATGAACAGAGGCTGAAAAAAGTTTATAGAGCTAGCTAGAAACAGCCAAGACTTGGTGAGGCCTCTTTTCACTCCTATAACCCCAGTATTTCAATCTAGAATGACCCTTGCTTTTTGTAGATAAAAAAGTCACCTAATCAGGTAATATTTTTAAAATAGTCAAAAAAGGCTAACATTATCAAGATGACAATTTGAAATGTGGTTTCAAACTTATTAACAATAAACCCTTCTTGATGTTTTTTTTAAGATATTAGCTAATGATAGTGTTGAGTTAGGAGGCGAGACTCAACTCTGGTGGTGGGGTATGAACACCGGACCAAATTAAGGACCAGCTAAAACAGGGGGAGCGGAAGCAGCTTTCCATAAGATATGTCCATGTCAGTTTACCATTGCCAGGGCAACACCGAGGAATTACCACCGCTTTCCACGGTAATGATCCAATGACCCAAAAATTGCCACTCCTATCATAGAAATTTCTGTATTAACCACCCCTTAATCTACATGTGATTAAAAGTAAGTATAAATACAACCTCAAAACTGCCTGAGCTGCTACTCTGAGCACACTGCCTATGGAGTAGCCCTGCTCTGCGGGAACAGGCATGGAGCTGTAACACTGCTGCCTCAGTAAAGTTATTTTCTTCTACCCTACCACTGGCTCGTCCTTGAATTCTTTCCTGAGTGAAGCCAAGAACCCTCGCAGGCTAAGCCCTACTTTGGGGCTTTCCAGCCCTGGATCAGTGTGAAGCCGTTATGTTTAGGAAGATATTTGAAATATTAATTTCATCTCACCTTAGCATTTTAAAATGTTTAGTTTTAAGATGTATAAGCTATGTAAGCAATTAGTATGCTGCTATGTGCTTATAAATAAATATATTTACATACTTTACAGAGCTGTGCTCAGAAAGTTTTTACTGAGGGGGTGCAGGATCTAAACAGTTTGGATCTAAACACCTACTTTGCTCATACGGTGGTAAAGTAGGTGAGAGGACAAGCATGTAACATGCTTTCATTTTTATGCCTGACACACACAAGGTACATCATATACATTAACCACCTCAAATAAAATAATTTGCTTTCATTTTGATTCATTTCTACATGACTGGCTCTAAAATGATTTGTTACTATTGTTTCTGGAAGTCCATTGCATAAAATTTTTTTCTCGTGCAGAGCTCTCCTTTCATTATTTTTATCTGAGTATCTAAGCAACAAGGAAGCCTTTACCTAAGGGTAACATGACTTTATAGGAAGAACCTTTGAGCCCCTCAAAATGTGCCAGCAATGTTCAAGTTGCACTGAATAAGTTTGCAAAGCCATTCTTAGACTTATGATTGAATTATAAAAGTATTGAGTGCTATGGTTAAATTTATCAGCCAATTATTGTTGTGAAGACTTTTCAAAACAGCAAAGTTCATTAACAACTTTGGTGGGTCACAAGAAAGAAATAAGAGCACCTCTTCACTATCACCTTTCTTCTATAGGTGGAAAAAGCTAATGAGGCTGCGAAAAGTGAGCAGAGCTGTGGAAAGGCTCCCCCAAAACATTTTCACCTTCATTTTATAAAGCAAAATAAAATGCTTGAACCTGCTTGCTATTGCTTTTTTGTTAGATGCTTTGGAATAGGAAAAATATAACAATTAAGGTCCTGTCCCCGACTTCAACAAATATTTCTTGAGCTCTTACTATGTGCCCATAGGCATTGAGAATATGGTGGTGAAGAAAATGAAACTCAAGGTTTCAAGGACAATAGAGTCTTCTGGGGAAACTAGCCAATAAGCATGCCAACAAATGCGTCTGTAAACTGGGGGAAGTGCTATAAAAAGAAAGACTGGAGAACTACTATTGAGAAGAAGGGAAGCTCATTCCAGAAAAAGAAAACAATGCTCGCAAATCCCTGAGGCTGGAAATAATTTCCCTACTGGATTTAAGCAACTGAGAAAAGACCACCGCATTCAAGCATAAAGAGAAAACATGAGAGATGGATTTGCAAAGACATGCAAAGAATTTTTTTCCTTTTGCAATCACTTCTGATTTTACCTTTTCTGGATAACCTCTGGTAAAATATAATAATCAAAATATTTAACTTATGAATCTAGCTAAGGGAAAGAAGGAATAGAAAATTAAATGTATGAACCAATTCCCCGTAAATTGTAATTTTCTAAACAACTGGATTCTGAGCAGTCAATAAATACACATTGAGTAATCTACTATGTTTATTATATGTTCAAACTTTCAGACCAATGTCAATTGCAGGCAAATTTAAAAGGAAAATGAGATTCAAATAACATGAGTTATGTTTAAATTAGAAAAAATTATCTCTAACAAATTAAATGTAATGATAATTATCTGAAGTTGGAGAAAACTTTAAAAAACCTCTATGCTAAAACTTTGAAAAATTATTATTCATAGTAAAGTATAATTTACTTGGATGACTTATAGAATTAGAATGCTTTTTAAAAATCTAAAAACCAAAGACTGTTTCAGAGCTAGGAAATAAATGTTTCTGTGAACTGACTATGATGTATCAAAACTCTGTTTTAAATCTCTGTGATAATTTCATTCCTACATAACAATGACTCTAGAAAATATCCACTAATTAGCAAAAAATTTTGGCCATATTCACAAGAGGTATTTTAAACAAGCCACGGAAGAAAAGGGTTATATAAATCATAGTTGGTTCTGCGTAAATGGGAGCATATTTTGTAGCCAAGTCATTTAAGCTAGATTTAATTGTGCTCTGTAAATAGATATATTACCAGAAACACAGTGGATGTCCTGTTGAGATTTCTTTTTAAAACATGATATTACTGCACATTGTTGGGGATAAATAAGGCACTTGAACTTGTATCCTGGCTGACGTGATCCACTAGAATAACATATTCCTTTAGAAGATGCTACTCTTTAGAAATCACAGTTGCTAGCCTGAAGTTACCCTAATTGTTAAAAGGTAGTACTGTATCCAAAGAGAGAGACAAAGCAATTACTGTCCTTCTGTTAACAACCCAAGCATATTTTCCAGTGAGACCCTTGAAAACTGTTCCGTGTTCAAAAAATTACCACTTTACCCACAAACTTTCTGAGAACTGAAAATAGTTTATTTGCACCAAATTCCCTTGATTTAAGGCTTATTAACTTGAAAAGAGCTCAGTGACATCTGGAATTGTATAATAGTCTTGCCACAGCACTGGCATACGGAGTTGCATTTTAACGAAGAAGATCAGGAATAAACCCATGTATTTGTTTCAAATAATAAAGTTTACTGTAGTTGGTGGGCACACATGTAATACAAAGAGAAATTAATTATTTTAAATTTGAAGAATTGTATAAATTTTACTAAATACTATGAATAAAATGTATAAAATAACTTCTGTGTGTAACTTATTAGTATGTTGCCTTTCTTCTGTGCCTTACATCCTGAATATAAATCAGAAGCAATCACTTTTGTAGTTGTGATTCTTAATATGACTAATATCAAAATTCTACTTTAAAACCAAATTAAGTATTCCGTTCATTATGAGTGATTTACTTGTAGTTATTTCATGTATTCCATGGCTAATTCAATGTTTTATTTATAGTTTCAGAATAAAAATATTGACAGTATATTGAATTTCTGAATTTACTGGGAAATTGTCCATCAACTTGTCAAGAAAAACAAGTCTATATGTGGACTTTATTCATTAGAGTCTGCTTCAGTGAATTAATATATTTTAAAATAACATTTTTTCTGATTTTTTTCCGAAATTTAAGTACCCATTTCTCATATAATTATTTTTTAAATCAAGAAATATATAACGAAGAAAATGCAGACCACCGTCCCAAAACTAATAGGAATATTTAGTGTACTGGTTTACAGTATAAGGTATAGAATTAAGCAACTCAGATTCAAAATATAGTCATTGTGACCTCATCACACCCATTTGCTCAACCCAGGACCTTAGACAAGTTTTGTAACCTCCTAGCACTTGTGTGTTCCTATCTATAAAAGTAGTACAGTAATAATGCCAACTGCATAGAGTTGATGGGATTACATGAAAATATTCAAGTAAAGCTCATAGAACTATGTTTGATATACTGTAAATGCTAATTATTATTCTCATTTTGAGTATTTTTCATATGCATATATTGGGGGGATCTTGTTTTTATTTTTAATTTGGCATTTGGATATGACATTACCAGGTCTATGGAATCTAGAAATGCAAATGCCACCAGTACTACCACCAAGATTGTTAAAATCTTTTCCCTTTTGAGATTCCTTGTATATAAGCATGGTATTGAAACACTTCCATTTTTTCAAGTTTGCCAGTACTTTGCAGTTTCTAAAATAAATGGGCCTCATTCAGATTACTAATTTAGATTATACTAGCCTTCTTAAGTCATCCTTCAAAAAGGCCAAACAACAACAAGTCATCACTGACAGTGCGTTTTGTATTGGGTGCCTGATGTGATGGACCACGTCCTGGATTAAAACAGAAGACCCAAGGTCTGGTATCATCTCCTGGGTTCATCCAGCAAACACTGATTAGGTATCTATTATATACCAGGCACCATGCTGGGAACACAAAGGAATTAAATAAGAGATTGTCATGTCACTCAAAAGCTCATAGTTCAGTAGAAAATAAGAAATATAAAAAATAAAGGAAAAGCTGTGAAATGGATGCAATGATGAAGATAGATAAAGGGAGACTGTGAACACAAAGAAAAAGTAGTGTCATGTCTAGCTGATGTGGTCAGGAAGGGTTCACGGAGGAATATTTGAACATTGGGCAGGATCTTTAGAGTATTAGACCTTGGATTTCCTCCTAGACAAACAGGAAAAATGAATCCGTGCCATTCACTTCACCAAGCTGTGAGATTGAGAAAGAGAAAGTCTGTGAATTAGCTTTGTGAATTTCAGTCTTGTTTAAGATGCAAGGAATTAGGGATTATCCATAGCTTTTACCTAAACATCTCCCCTATAGCCTTTCATCTCAGCATTTAATGATGCTTACTTATTTTAACTCCTCTTTATGGAACATTTTTTCTTCCATTTTCACCTACTAACCCCAAAGACTTTGGGGTATCCTCATCAGTCAAGTTGGGCAAGAGAAAAATGAGACAAAGAAAATCAGCTGTATTGAAATATTTTCTTTCTTCAATATGCTATCATCCAACTCGCAATGAAAATAATGTTGTGTTTATTCAGATTATCTCTTTAATTTGACTCCTCCTAATTCATAGCTGGTACATAAACAATGCTAAGATTTTAGTAAAGCATATTGTTCTATCAAATTATGTGTCAGGACTCTTACGTAAATGATGTTAGTTAAATTTGATATTTCAAAGGAAATAACAGCACATGCGTGCTCGCTATCCATTTCTCCACACTTCTCAATAAATTACATCCATTCATTTAGTAAATATTTATTTATACCTACTGTATGTGGCACACTGGAAATAGAGCCATTAACAGACAAGACACATATCCTAGCTCGTGTACATCTGCAGATTAGCAAAGACTAGACAGAATTGTATAGCTGGGAGCACAATACATTGAGTGTTGAAATGTGAGACATGCAAGGTGTGATGTGTGCACAACTGGAAGACAAAATCCAGTTCAAGGGGAAGGCAAGGCTTTCCAGAAAAAGAAGTTATAAATAGACGGGAAGGAAAAGAGAGGTCAGTAAGTGAAGGATGACAATTATTGCTATCCTTAGATCAAATTAATTTATGTGTACGTTGAGTGAAGTTGGTGAAAGGGGGAATGAGGTGAACTCTTTTTAGTAGGGAAAATAGGAGAACACCCTTGGGGTTCATAAAATCCAGTAAAGCTGGAGGCACTTGAGTTGGCCAGCAGTGCCATTGAGCATGTTCTTGCAATTGATTTTAAATATTTCTCTTCCTTGTGTCTAACAGCCAATGAGTATGGTAGATAGGGTCATTTTCATCTATTAAAACCATTTACAGAGCTCCTGGTGTCCACTTAGAGAGAGGGTGGTACTGAAAAGTGAGCACTCTCCGGCTAAAGAGATTTCTCTCTTTCTATAAATCAAGAGGACTTTTGGAAACCTGCTTGCAGGTTATACTTGTTCCCTTTTTATGAATGGCAAAATACTAATAAAACAATTCACAAGAAGTCCCCACTGCTCTTGGATTTGACCGCTTGTGCTTATTTCAAAGTTTGTGCCCAAGTAGCCCAAGTTATAATGATACAACACATCTATGTATAATGATTCATGTATTGTTCGGTTGTCTCAAAATTCTGTTTTGCAAAATAGATTTTTTCTATCTCTGTAAATGGATTTAGCAAAGGAAATATTACTTCATTCATTCAATCCACAAATACGGGTCTTCTGCTGTCTGCCAAGTGGTGAGCTAAGTTCTCCTATCTGTTTGCAAGTGGTGAACAACTTCAGACAATAATTTTTAGACATTTGTATAACTGTACATTTCAAAACCTATGAAAATAGTCAAAGGAAGGGTGTGTTCTTTTGTTTAAGGGCTTGAAAAATAAAAATAATCACATTAACACATACCTGAAATAGGAAGACTGCATGAAAAATGTCTTTCCTGTTAACAAAGGCTTGAATACATGCTTCCGGTTTCCATGGCAGCCCAACCAAACAGAAAAATAAGTCATAGAAGTGGCCTTTTATATCAATGACTTGCTTCCTAAACAATAGGACCAGGAGCAGTCAGTGAAAAAATAATGACTGGTGCTGTCCTACTTATGAAAACTGTTTTACAACTTATCAGATTATTTAAACCAGAGGGAACATAGTTTGAAAATAATTGACACAAAATTGGAATTTATGTTTTCATTTTGACTATGTCTGTCTCTAGGGTCATTACTTAAAAAAAGAAAAAAAAAGATTCAAGTAGGAAAAAAAAAAAAACCTAAAAATAATTCTGTCAAACAGACTATCTTTCCTAGATCTAACTTGCTTTAGAAAATGTATATAGGAAATTGCATTAACATCCCTTTAGCAGGAGACAATTCTTAAACTTAAATTAAACTGAAAAAGCCACAGAAAAAAGGGTTTGACACCCTAAAGCCAGTGTCCAAATGAACGCTACGGTTGACCTCATAGGTGTGTTATGAATGTTTACCCTGACCTCCTAGAAGAAAAGGAAAAAGAAAGGAAAGAGAGAGGGAGAAGGTGAGGGAAGGGGGGAAGAAAAGAAAGGAGAGAAAAGAAGACAGAGAAAAAACAGGGAGGGAGGAAGCTGGGGAAGGAAAAAGACCATTTGCTGACTCCGTTGTTTTATTTCCCAGAATGATTCAATACCTCAAGAAGATTTCACTCCAGAAGTGTACAGAGTTTTCCTCAACAACCTTTGCCCTCGACCTGAAATTGATAACATCTTTTCAGAATTGTAAGAGTACACATTTTAAGCCATATCTTTTTCAGCTTGCATTGATTCTCAGGTGGCTAGAGCAGGACTTGGAGTGGTAATTGGAGATGGAAGAACATCATACACTGTGTCTAAAAGCAATATTCCTGTGTGATGTTTTGGATAGGATCACACAATCTTGCCCCTGAGGTGCAACCACTGCTTTTAATGAGTACAAGTTTGCTGTGATATATTGCTGGAGGTAGTTGTTTTTGTATGCTCAGATAACTTTGTATGGTTGAAGGATTATGGGTAGAACAGGGAGTCATCTTGGCTTAGCAGAAATAGACTCATGTCGCAGGAAGAACTCTGGATTGGGAACCAGTTATTTTATCTCTCTGAGCCACATTAGCGACATGAGAAGTTTGGATTACTAAGAACCCTCTCAGCTGAAGAATTATTTGCTTTTCTGTTAGAAATTATAAACTTATATCAAGGCATTACCTTTTTTTGAAAGATTAGAAGAAAAAAGGAAAAAAAAGAAAGAAACCAAAGCACTAAGGCAAATGTGGGGAAAGTAGCAGTTTACCTTTCTTAAAATACTGAAATCCACATGACAGAAAATCAATACAAAATGTGGTAAACAAAATAAGGATTTCTTCAAATGGAAGACAGGTAAACAGTACTGCTGAAAATGACATTGCATATTCTTGCTTTGTGCTGTTCATTGCCATCATATATTTACTGAACATCTGCAACATTTGTACCACTGAATTTGTCTTTAGATGGTCAATACAATTGAAATGGGAAGTTTGAACAATATGTTGAGGAATTATACTCTCTTGTTGAAGCCTAACTGTAACTTTTAAAAACACTCAAACGGGTTGTTTACTTTAAGTAATGACAATAAATACATCTTTAAATGATTACAGATATATGGAGTTGGATGATTAAATCAAAAATTTACTGTCATAATAAAAAAACCTCTGTGTTCGGTTTAGAGTGGTGCACCCTTATGCACATGATGCAGTGTTTTCCCACTGTGGGTTTTCTTACCCATTTGGTATTTTGCAAGAGCATTGGGTTTTAGCGGTAGCAATTGCACAAGATATTTGTAGCCCATAGAGGTATAGAAATTATGGTGGAGAAGCACAGTGTTTTCAGGGCAAGATAGGAGTTTCAATATAGCATTTTCTTATCAAGTATAAGATTTTATTTCCCTAGAGTTAAATGCAAATATTAGAATGAAACTTAGTTTAAAAAATTCTTATTGCTTGGTTTTTCATTGTTTTTAGTGGTGCAAAAAGCAAACCATATCTTACCGTTGATCAGATGATGGATTTTATCAACCTTAAGCAGCGAGATCCTCGGCTTAATGAAATACTTTATCCACCTCTAAAACAAGAGCAAGTCCAAGTATTGATTGAGAAGTATGAACCCAACAACAGCCTCGCCAGAAAAGGTCAGTACTTTCTTTCACACCAAAGGGAAGCTCTTGTTTCTGATTGGGGGTAGTCACACGCTGGGAGTTAGGAACACCAGTGATCGTTAGGTTAGTTTCCTCTGTTTACAAGGCATTCCTTTCGGTCTGAAATCACTTGGTGGTTCAGTGCACTAGGTTTTTCTTTAAACTTTGGTGTGTGATTTTTTTGTCATTGTTGTTATATGTATAGATGCATGTAACATATTTTTAAAATGTCTAATCCTTTATTTTGTTTCAAATTCACGCAGTGACTGAATGCATATTTCATACAGGAAATCACTATCTTTAGGTTACCCTTTTGTCTTTTTCTAGTAAGTTCTGTGAAGTGGCCCACAAGTTTTTCTAACGTTCTAAAACTGAAGGGAATATTTAGTCTGTGAGACCCTTATCTTTTTCCAGTATATACTATCTGATAAATACTATCTGATAAATTTTTCTACTTGGGGAAATAGTCTAAAATTTGGCTGTCTGTGTAAAAAAGCCTAGTGTTGTAAATACAAAACAATCCAAAAATTGATAGCCCAAAGACAGCTCTAAGTTACCTGGAAGTTTTTAAGAAATTTATATTTTTGATTCTGGGAAAATGAATTGCCAAAATAAGATCATGAAGATGTAATTACTGCAAATTTTCAACTATATGTGGCAGCACTGTCCCTGAACAAGATCTTCCACTGAGAAGACTAACTCTCATCTGGATTGAAATATCTTCACCAAGAAAATTAGTGTGTTATCACTGATGTTATTGCAGATTGCCTAGATATTCCATAGGGAGGAAAATAAAGTACAATTAACCAATTATTGAAAAGAAATCAATTATATATTAATATGCAGGCATTTTCTAAAGTAACAGAAATAGCTCTAGCAAGCTTATGGTCATCAATAAGAATGATTATCATAAAAGTAAATTTAAAAGTCTTTTAATCCATTGTGTTTAATCTGGAACTGGTCCTCTAAATTGAAAATGAAATCATGAAGTATAAATGGGCCCAGGCACTGTGGCTCACGTCTGTAATCCCAACACTTTGGGAGGCCAAGGCGGGTGGATCACTTTAGGTCAGGAGTTCAAGATCAGCCTGGCCAACATGGCGAAATCCTGTCTCTATTAAAAATACAAAAATTAGTCTGGCATGATGGCGCATGCCTGTAGTCCCGGCTACTCAAAAGACTGAGGTAGGAGAATTGCTTTAACCCAGGAGGCAGAGGTTGCAGTGAGCCGAGATTACACCACTGCCCTCCAGCCTGGGTGACAGAGGAAGACTCTGTCTCAAAAAAAAAAAAAAAAAGAAGAAGAAGAAGTATAAATGTAAAATCTAAAAATCTATTAATCATATTCTACATGCTACTAGTTGGGAATTTTTAGATGCAATTTTTTAGTTTTCATTTGTTTTCTTGGTGAAGAACTTTGCCTTTGTTGTTGTTATCATTTTCACTGATGCTGTGAAGGTGAGATTAGTTAAAGGAAACAACTAGCCCAACAGTATGTCTTGGCATGGCCAGGCCTGCCCCTCCAAACCTACTTAAATAGGTTGCCCTTCCTTCCCTAGTACACAAGAGATGAGATTTCCCCTTATCATGAAGCAGGGAACATCTTGGAGGTTTTGCCCATGTAGCTTAGGAGTTCTCTTCTAAAATCCAAACTTCTCCAAAAATAACGAACACATTGTTATAACAAATCCAACAACACTTCTAAAAATCAGTTAGCCCACGACACTAGGAAAACAAAAAGCTTTTCTGAAACCAGTGAAGCACTCCAAAGTGTAAGCCTTTTCCTTTTCTCCTTCCTTCACACCACACTGCTGATGGCACAGGCTTCAGCTGGTATCCAATGCCTCCATACATCATCCTCTGATGACTTGCACGATGTAGAGGGTACAAAGAGAAAAAATTGTGATAGATTACTGTAAAACCCCATAATCCTAGAAAAACTGATTTTGATTCTAATGGAAATTAAGATGATGTCTCCTAGCATTTGCAAAATTATTTAGTGCCATTTTATGAATTTCAAATCGAAAGAGGCACACAAAATATTTAAAAATTTAAATATTTTTAAAGGCAACTTTATCTGTTTTTCTATACCTTAATATGACATTGATCACAAAACCTCTGTGTCAACCTTAATAGCAGTATAAAGAAGCAACATAGAATAATGGTTCCACTTTTGAGTTTCAAAGCTGAGATCCACCTCACTAGTTTCATAGCCTTATGCTTAACTTCTCTATGCCTTAATTATTTCATCTTCAAAATTAAGGACAGAAGAATTCTTGATACGCTTTTCATAGATTTGAATTAAATAATACCTGCAAAGCATTTGGAAAGAAGAATCTGGGCCTGTGTAATGTGATAAATAAGTGTTAACTCTTCTCAATGTTTTGAAGTGTAGTATGTTGGTTTTCATTCCTCAGGTGTCGTTGTCCATTTTTTCTAGGAGATCCCATGATTTCTGGGCCTTAAACTTTCTTCTGTTTTCCCCAGCACCTAGAAGATGCACCTGCTCATGATGAAATCCTTAATGTAGACTTGTAGTTGTGATCTAATCAGTGACCCAAAGCATTTGTGCCCCAACTTATCACTTAAGAATATTGCCTAGTGGTCTCTGTACAGAAAAATTTTGGCTAATGCTGTCTCTACCTAAAGCCTTATCTAGCACGTGGGAAGGACAGAGGCTTTGGAGTCCAACGGCTAGAATATGGCTAAAGGGCCAGCCACCTGCTACCGTATAACGTGCATCCTCAGTCACCCCAGGGGACTCCAGCACCCGTTCAGAAGTTCTGGCTGGCTGTATTTGTAGCTCCTTCTTCTCTAGAATCCATATGAAAGAAATTCAACTCTTGAGGAGTTAAAAGTCAAATTACAAAGACCTTAGTAGGGTCACTTCAGCTTTAAGGCATGTACACAAAAACGGACTCATGATAGCTGCCTTGTTTTAGGATAAAGGGAGATTGTGCCTGTTTATGTTTAGTTCAGCGCACACTAGTCATTCAGTAAATGGCCTAAATTGTTATTAACACTGTTTAAAGCAGGCCAAATAGTACTAGAGGAAGCACACAGTCTCTGGTGTTCTAGTCTTACAAACTCAAACTTACAAGCCAACCTACGTTAAGTAATTCATAACTTCAGTATTTAATAAATCTTCAGTGAAAGGCAAGAGGCTACACACAGTGACAGACCCAGAGATAAACCCTGTGCCCCTAGAGATTTGCACTCCTCTTAAAAGTGTATATATATATAATTATATAATTATTTATTATATAATTATATATAATTATATAATTATTTATTATATAATTATATATAATATACAATTATTTATTATATAATTATATATAATTATATATTTATTATATTTATTATACAGTTATATAATAAATAATTATATAATTATATATAATTATATATTATTTATTATCTAATTCTATATTAAATATAATTATTTATTATCTAATTCTATATTATATATAATTATTTATTATATAATTCTATATTATATATAATTATTATATAATTCTATATATAATTATTTATTATATAATTCTATACATAAGTATTTATTATATAATTATGTATATAATTATTTATTATATAATTATGTATAATATGTAATTATTTATTATATAATTATGTATAATATGTAATTATTTATTATATAATTATGTATAATATATAATTATTTATTATATAATTATGTATAATATATAATTATTTATTATATAATTATGTGTTATGTATAATTATTATATAATTATGTATAATATATATATAATTTTTTATTATATAATTATGTATAATATATAATTTTTTATAATTATGTGTAATATATAATTATTTATCATATAATTACAATATATATTATTAACATAATATCTAAATATATTAATAATCTAATATCTATAATTAATATAATATATAAATATTACTTCTTGAAATCCAACGTGCACCTGAATCACCTGAGCCGTTGTTAAAATGCAGATTCGAGATCCTGCATTTCTAACAAGTTACTGGGTGAGGCAGAAGATGCTTAGCAAAGGCCCACACCGAGTAGCAAAGCTCTAAGAAGTAAAGAGAAGGCGCATTAAGCATGAAGATAATGAGATTTCTTCCTGTAGGGGACAGTTCATGGAAGAGATAACATTTGGGCTGAATTGATTTTAACACAGATGAGCTACAGACTTTAAAACTTTAAACTTTTAGTCAAGTAGTTAATACATTTGGATCAATAAACACATAAGAAAATAAGTAGGGAAGTTTAGTATTACATTATAATTTATTCTTCTGCTGCTTTCATTTTAACTGTTTTCAGATGTGCCCAGGTGTTAGTTAAATTGGTGTTGATCTCAGTGCTGATGTGGAAATTGAGTCTTATTTACCTGAGAAAGGCACTTCCATATAGCCTATACTTGTTATAAAATGCTAAGCATAAGATACACACATAATATACATAATAGAATATAAACATATATATAACATATATATACACACAACATAGATATACACACAACATATAGTTGTGTGTGTATACACATACACAGAGACACACACACAGTCTCTGATATCAATAAACATATCTTAAAGTAGGTGTTAAGCAAATAAATAATATACAAACCTGACATATGCTGTTTAGCTTTTATGTACATTTTACATAATTTTTACATAAAAGATAGACTTGAAATTAAATGAAAAATTTTTAGTGTCACCAAAAGCCCAAATGCCAAAGCCGACCATAGTTTAGCTGACTAAAAGTGTGACACATGGAAGTATGAAATGAAACTCCAGAAGAGACAATAGACTTTGATCTTCTGAGGACCTGCTGTAATTAGCATGTCAGCCACATCTCCATGCTGGAATTTCTGTTTTGGGAGATGTGTATATTGGTTATAAATAATCAGAGGATTTCTGTGCAGTCTAAGGCCAAATGGGTCATGTATGTGGGTTCCAGAAAGAGAGAATTTGAAGCTTGTCACAGAGGATACTATTCTCCTGGGAGTGTGGTTTATTTTTACTATTTAAAAATTACACATTGAAAAATGCCATGGCCTCTGGTCAGCAAAAGTTTTTTCCTTTCCATCTTGTTTGCACTGTAGACTTAAATATTCCTGGCACAGGAATATGCAATGACCCCTGCCTCTTCCAAACAAAATGTTCATGAATATCGTACTTTCAAGATCAGTGTCTCCAAAACAGTTATTTTTTATCACTTAAACTCTTCAGATGAAAGACAGTGAGTAAAATTAGCATGAAAAATAGAATAGCTCTATAGGTACCTTTGGTAACAGAATGCAGACTTCAACTGATATATCTATAAATGAAGTCCAAATTTTACTTAAATAAACTGCCAAACCAAAAGAAAGCAGTAATTTTTTTCATGCTTTTATTCTGTGGAGATCAGGTGTTCATGAGTGTTTGTTAAATAATTGAATTAATGTAGCAGATTATAATAGCAGATGTTTCAAACTACATTCCTTTTATCATCAGTTCTTCCTCCTAAATTTTTATAAGGTATACTATACAAAAGCGTCCCCACTTTGTTGTAATTAAGTCATAAAAATGAAGCTCTATAATCCCTTTTAGTGATCACTACTCGCTGAGTTAATAGTTTAATAGTTGAAATGAACTCAAGATTATAATGGCGAAGCAATTTGGTTTTAGGCAAAGTTCAGATACAGCAAGTGCTTTAGCTTTTTTTCCTTTAAATAGACCTAAGCCAATAATGATTGTATCAGTAGGAAAAAAAAACCCTATTGCATTTTCAATATAGTTTTATTTAAAGTATTATACAATTAAGCTATATTCTCTCACTGTCAACACCAAGAAATAGGCTGAGAGTGATAGAAAGAGACTGGACTTGGGAAACTTGAAAACTGTAGTTTTAGTTGAGACTCCTTCAGTTGAAAAACGGCAGAAACTTAACTCAAACTAAAGCACTGAATAAATTTGCTTGTGCATATAAGCAAAAAGTCAAGGTGTTAATGGTTTCAGGCATGACTATATCCAGGAGCTCAAGTCATGTTATCGATAATTGTCTTTTTTCATCTCTCATCATTTTCTCATACTGGCTCTAGTTCTTGGGCAGATTTTCCTGAATGATAAGACAGCCACCAGCAGCGCCAAGCCTATAGCTCACCAGTCCTAGTATACAGAAATCCTTTTTACTCATGGTTCCTGTGAAAGTCCCAGAATCCAGGGCATGGCTTCGGTCACTCAAGGCCACTTCTAAATTAGAATCACAGTGTCCTGAAGGATGGGATAAAAATAAATGGACAGGCTTAAGTCATATGACTCCCCCTAGAGCCCATAAGGGGTCAACTACCTAAAGCACAAACCACACGGACCGACAATTGGAGAGAGATGGTTCCCTAAAATTCAACCAGGATGTGCTTCCTAAAGGAAGGAATAGTGGTCTCTTGGCAAATGAAAAGAGTAGATCACACTAAAACTAGTTCAGAAATCATTCATTCATTATGACTTTTTATTTGGCCTTATAAAGCCATTTAACTTCTTTGACTAGCCCTGCTCCCTAGTTTTCTCAACTTTGAAATTATTTCCTGACAGAATTACTGGAAGAATTAAATAAGATGCTTTTGTTAAAGAGGTTACATATATTTATTGTTGTTGGCTAAATTGTCATTTACCTGAACTAATGAAAAGTGATCATTGGCATTTATGCCAAATTATTTTAAAACATTTATGAGTCTAGAAGTGAGACTCAGAGCCTTGGGCTGAGGCATTCCTGAACATTGCTGTTTCTCATCTAACAGCCTTATTTAATGTACTGCAATTAAGGATAAGTATAATAATTTATTAATGAAACTTGAAAAAAATATGGCATGTCACATCTGTGCACAAATGGTCCTTTCTGACTCAATCATTCTTTTCTATACCTTTTTATTAAAATGGAATTATAATTATAGTCATAAGTGTAAGGATGTACACTTGACTCTTACTATTTACTTCATTATCACTTCAATTTCCTAGTAAATTTTTTGAATCATATTTTTCCAGCACCATTTCGCTTTACTAGGTAGAAGTTATAAAAACTAATGATGGTGATGATTATAATCTCTATTCTCCATCCTTGAAAGATCAAACATGCCCTAATTAAAGAAATAGGCTGGCATAGTGTCATGATGAAGCCAGTAAACCTCAGGCAAGAGACTTGACTTGTGTGAGCTTCAGGTTCTTCATCTGTAAAATGGGATGAGACCAGCAATGTAGCAGACACCTGTGCTATTCCCATGTCCCTTGGCAATCATGGTTCCAACCCAGCCACCTACACACTTGGCAACTCTTCAGGGCCTTCTATCAGTCCATCCACAGCCAGGCTACAATTCCCAGGGACTGCATGCCTCAGGAGTAGTTGAAGAATAAATACCTTATCTTCCATGCCCCTTGGGTTGCAAAGTTCTGATGTGTGTTCTCTGCTTTCTCCCAGAGTTCCTCGGTGAGACTGAGCCCTAACTGCCCACAGCTGTAACCTGCCTGATACCCTTCTCCTTCTTAGCTGCCTTTCCTTCTTGTCTCACTTCTCTTCTCTACTGTTGTTTCATAGGGTCAACTCCCAAAAAAGGTGCTTGCACTCAAATCCTTGTCTCAGATCCTGTTTTTGGAAGAACCCAAACTAAGACAAGCACTTTTCTATAAATGGCCTTAAGGGAATCAAAAGTGAAAGATGGGTAAGGTCAGAGTTGCTGAGCATTGAGAGAAAAAAAAATGGAAAGAGGCTGTGCCTCATCATTCCTGCCAACCTATCACGTTATTGTCTTCGTTGTTTCCAATCACGAAGCCCTGGCCAGTGGCCTCCAATCATAGATTTCCAGTCTACAAAGGACTTAGCCATTTAGCTTAGTCAAACTGTCAGTTTATTAGAAGAGGCAGTTTGCAGAAATGGCAATGTTGGGACCAAGACCATGTTTTCTTTGTCCCGCTACTCCAGACATCCACCTAGGCACTCCAACAGGACTTGCTTAGAAAAAAGTTGCAACACAGACCATTTAGAAGTTAGTGATCGATGTCTATAGCAGTGGTTTCCAAGCTGGTCCTAGACATAGCACCCTTTGTTTGTTTCTTCTAACAAAGTCTCGTGAGAAAGGCCAATGTGTAGGGAAAAGCTTTAAAGGTGCTGTCTTGGTGGAATAGAGGGGAGCCTGGAGTACAGGTGATGGTGGCTGTTGCCCTATCACTCTTTCTCCTCCTGACCTACCCCATTCTCTGCAGGGATGTCTGCCCAAACCCAGGGATATTCAGGATACTCAGTTTAAAAACCACTCCTCTGAAGGAAATACTGACTAGTTTAAAGATCTGCCTCACAATTAAGGTGGCATCCATTTAAGTCATTTTATATAGATTACCTACAAAGTAGTTGAGGAAACAGAACCGACGTGAATCAACAAAGTCAACACAAATAAGATCAATTTTCTCCCAAAAGACAAAAACAGAGGAAAACTATATGATGTAGCCAATGCTTTCATGCCTTAATTAAGTTACTACACTGAAAAAGCTGCTGAAAAGCTACTCTAGGATTTTATTGATCGAAATCTCATTTAAATTCCTCCTATTGACTCTCTAACCTCTGCGGAAGGTTACAGAAAAATGGCATTGTCGTCCCTGAGTGCATTCCAAGTTCTTCTTAACTTCATGTTTGGTATGTTCATAGACTTCTCTGAAATATTTCAGATTGCCTAAGAATGAAAAAAAAATTTTTCAAGATCGTCATTGTGGATCTATTGTTCATTGGTTGACTTGGCAACTCCCTTTGCTTTCCTTTCCGTTATTACATTTCCTTTATTCCCAGAAGGCAGGGCCTGGGCCTGAGGAAAGGCAAAGGCCTGGCCTAGGAATTCTGTTTCTTTTCTCCTTTATTTCAGTGACCTCAGTGTCTGCTCAGGCCCACAGCTCTGGCCAGAAAGTCACAGCCCTGTCTACTCACAGCTGAAATGTCCTTTGTTCAGAAAATAACCAGACAGGAAAAATATAAACAGTAAAAGGCAAAATCAAATGCCAGTCCACAGGATAGATAAGTGAGCTTGGTAGCCTCATCAACCCCATAGTCTGCTGAGTCTTGTTAAAACTTCTTTCCTTCATCACACCTTTCAGAGGTGCCTTGCCATTTCATGGGAGAGCTATTGGGACAGAGCAGAGAATGGCTTCTTTCCCCCTAGATGTGACCTCCCAGCAGAACACAGCATTGACAATTGTTGGCTAGTATAGCTTTCCCCTTGTCAGCAGGGTCTAGGAGCAGGTTGCAGTGCGTGTGGGGTGGGGTGGAGGGGACTCTGGCTCAGTCAAAACTGCCTGGCAGGTTGTACTGTGTTGGGAGGGAGAGAGGCCACAGGCGTTTGGCTCCTAACTTCGGCATTATCCAGGGTCTTGTCAATAGTCAATGTGATACAACAGATAAGTGGGAGGGAAATAGGTCGAATGCAGAAAAAAAAAAAGCAAACCACAGGGAAACCAGATTAAGTGAGGGATGGACCTTCCACCCTAACCCTTAATAGAAAAGCTGAAAAATGTACCATAGTAGGGAATCCTGCCAGGAAGTGGACAGTGACCAAGGATTTCAAAAATCTCTTATGGAGATTCTGGAAGGTCTGTCTTAACTCTGAATCACTACAGTCTCTAGGATGCCAGCTGTGACAGCAAAGATTATCTCCAAGCTAGGGATAGCATTATTTTAACAGGAGAGTTAATTGAGAATGATGGACAAAATCAAGCTTCTTACCTAAGCATTCTACCTTATATGTAGAAAATGAGCCCAAAAAATGCTTCTGAACAATGTGGCTATATGTCTTTGTTGAGGGTTTTCCCAGAAGCCAACTTTGAAAGAAGATTCAAGTCCATAGAGTTTGGAAGGTGATTCCAGGAAGTACTAGTAGGGCAGTAGGGAGTGTGAACGAGGAAGAGAAAGCAGCTTACAAAAAAATGTGTTGTCAAGGCAGTCATTCCCAACCACAGCCATTGTTGGAGGATGCTCTTAGAAAGTGTTAATTCTTAGGCCTTTCCAGCCTGCACCACATAAAGTCAGCCATCAGGCAGAGATGCAGATACAAGTCCAGCCCAGCTGTATCTCCTGGAGCACCAGTACAGTCTGCTATGATATTATTACCAGCAAAACACTATTCACGATACTATAAAAAGGATATTCCCACCTCACTTTGCAGCTTTAACAAGAATCTCCAGCATATCAAAAAAGAGATCCTTCAAAGTACCTGATGCTTATTGAACGCATTTCTTTATTCTAACATATACCTAATGCAGTTGCGTGGACACTTTAACAATCATGTATTACCCATCTAACTTATGAACTGCTAGAAAGGGGAACAAAATCCAGATAAGATATTTGCTCTCAAGGAGCCTATAATTACAAGGAGAAAATTCTAATATCACAAATAATTATAAAACAAGTTATAATGTGATTCACTTCCATTTCTTCATCTAGCTAATATTCATTCATTCGTAAATATACTTCCATTCATTCATCTAGCAAATATCTATTGAATAACTATGTGCGAGGGAAGCTTGAAGGAAAAGGAAAGTTTTGTTTATTGACATTGTGGGGAGTTTCCGGAATTGCTCTAAGCTCTTTACCTGCAAATTGCCATGGTACATTTTTCAGCTTTTCTATTTCTTGTACAAAACCTCAGACAAGTCTTCAAGTGCATATTATTATTCCCATTTTACAATGAGGAAAGCGAGTCTTTGGATGGTCCAGACATTTGACTTGTTATACTGTTTGGGAATGAGTTGAGAGGTAAGTCTAAAAATGTAACATTTGTGACCTGAATGGAAGCCTTCATGCTATTCTTGACTTACTCGTTGGTTTATTTACTCAGCACACAGTTTTTTGAGTCTTGCTACCTGTGTCAACCCTTGAGTAAGACAATGAAAAGGCACCATTCTTCACCTATCTGGGCTCTCAATGTAGTAGAACCTCCTCTGTAGTCAGTACAGTGGGGAAGGATGTGCTGAAGGCATCTGAAGAGGAAACTGGCATTCCATGCTGTGCTTTATGCTGCAGAGCAGAGGGCCAAATGAGAGACAAGAGGCACTTAGGGCACTAAAAGATAACATGTTTTAAGTAGCTCATCAGAAAGCATTAATGAGAACATAATTATGTTCTGGGTCTGCATTTATGCTAGACTATGGAAGAGATGTAAATAAAGTGAAGGCCATGGTCCTTGCTCATACAACGCCAATGTCCAATTTGATCAAGGAACATAACATTCTGGTGAAGGAGCTAGAACATTTTTCCTCCCTTGCATTACGGTCAGGAACCACTGTGGAGGGTCTCCTCTCATAAAGCACTGTGACAGTGTACTCATAAAAGGCAATGGAATTGGTTTCCTACCCTCTGAGAACCTCTAATTTTAAATGATAAATCAGTACTTATACAAATCCATGTTCCAAACACAGCTCTAAAGCTGTACTTAAGAGAGACAGGTTCTAATCTGGATTCTGTTCTTATCTTTCTATGTCATTTTAAAGGGGCTATTTAATCTCTCTTGGGACAACTTTGCTTATCTGTCATGTTAAATAATAAAACTGTCTTCTGCCTACCAAATAGAATGATGAGGAGTAAATAAACTCACAGATGTGAGAATACTTTGAAAAACGGAAAGTGCTAAATCAAAGTAAGGTGTTATTATTGAGAATTTTCACACAAAACCACATCAAATAGTACAACTTAATACAGGGAAACTGCAAGCACACAGAAAGCTGTGAGCACTGCGTGAAGAGCTAATCTGCAGGAGCTTTTGAGAAGAGTACATAGCCATTTAGGGGCCATTATCACACCATATCTTGGAGCTGTATTTGCACATAGTTATGGTAATAGCACAGTTTTTGCAATCAAGATGGAATAACAATATATGACACTTTTCAACTTAAGATAAAATAATAACACATGAAAACAGGTGCAGAACATACTGACTCCAGATTTAGGGGAAAAATGGTAAAATAATGAAAGAAGCCAGTGAAGTTCATGTAATGTACAAAAGCACAGTTAGCTGGCCAGTGTGATAGGAAAGTTTGTGCCCGGGCAAAGATAACTGAGAAGGGAACATTTAGATTATTTCTTAAAATAGGCAAATAGACTTTGGTGAGCCATGGGATATTAATGCCATCTGCACTTACTTTCTCTGAGCTGATCTAGCAGAATTCGCAAGGGCCAAAGCACCAGGAAAAAACGTGAGCCGAGAAATTGCTTTTCAGTGCTGTGCTTAGAAGTGATTTAAGGAGGTGCTAAACCACTGGGCTGGTAGCTTTCCAGTATGCTCTGGTATTATTGCATTAAGAGTGAAGATTGAGCAATGATGAATGGATTCTCAACCACCTAATCCCAGTGACATCCAAACATCTGAGTGCCAGATCCTGCCTAATTGGCATTTGGCACAGTAGAAGGAGGCTGGTGTCCATGCAAGCTGGCAGACACATTGTCCAGTTTTCCCATCTTGACTGTGATTATTCTACGTGGATTTATGGGCCATCTGTCTTCCAAGGCAAAATTTGTAGATTTTTCTGTGCTGCAGAGCTCTGAAGATGTTATTTGCATGTGTTTAGCTGTTTTTATTTTTTAAAGCTAACCTGCATATTTTTTGCAAAGCCCACAAAACAATGTCACTTCTTGTGTTCAGCATTTCTCTTGTCCTCATGTTGGCATGACAAGTTTTCTGTTATATTTCATTTTTCTTCCTAAAAATCAGATTCATGGGTTGAGGGATAAAAATGCTAGAGGACATCTTTAAATTACTTGCAGAGATTAGAATGTAAATTAAGTCGGGAAAAGAATTTGGACCTTGATAGACAAATTCAAATCAAAGAGCTAATCCTCACGCCTCTGCCAGATGGGTCATTTGTCCACCGGAGCTCAGCTTCTTTACACAGAAAGATTAAAGTAACACGTTTTAGAGAGATAAGTAAATCATGGGAAAACTCTGCCTTGGTCACATTTAGGATTATTTTTAGGACCAATGCAGAGTGCCCAGATTGAAGCCAACTGCCAAGAAGGCAGGATACCTTTCCTTCCCATCATCCATGCCCCCTATCCAGGCCAGTGTTAGGAAAGTTATGTGGATAAGCACCATCAACCACACCCACCACTATCTGTCTTTCCATTGCCCAGGCATGATATCCAGATCCATTTCACACCAAATAACCCCGTGCCCTCAGACAAGTTGCTAACATCTCTAAGCCTCCGTGTACTCAACTGAAAATGGTAATTTAAAAGTACGTCTCTCATAGGATTTCTATGCCTGGCATGTGGTCAATGCTCAGTAATAGTAGCTCCCATTATTATGATAATTATTGTTATTTACCTTCTTCTATCACTAGATGATGTGTGATGTCTACAGCAAGCAGCATAGCATCATGTTTAATGGCATGAAACACAAAGACTGACTGCCTGGGCTCAAATCCCAACTTACTCACTTATGAATTGTATAACCTTGAGCAACCTTATCTTTGCTTGGGCACAAACCTTGAGCAAGCTACTTGCCTCAGGTTTCCCATCTATAAAATAGTCATAAAAGTACCCACTTACAGAGTTACTGTGAGGATAAAATGAGTTAATACTTGCATATAGCAAGTAGCATATCATAAAAGATTGTTAAACAATATGCTGGAAATATTTTAAATCATGAAACTCTTCTAAGGCTCTCTTCTTCCTTGCACTTTCCTGTTATACTCTTTTTTTTTTTTTTTTTAGTACTGCATGTGTAAGCATGGCCTGCCACATGTTCTTTCCTTGATCCTTTTTCCTTTAGCACTTGGCTACTGCTGCCTTAAACTGCTTTTGGGACTAGCTCAGGAGCAGTTCCATGCTAGTTCTTTGATGCCATGATGTGGGCATTTCCTAGCTAACCATCCAGATATGCATACCGAGCAGGGAAGAGCCTCAGTGGGGGCCCTTCCAGAGACCTTAGCAATGTGCCATGAGTTGTATTTAGGGATTAGTTTTTGACTATGCCCTATGTACTTTTTTCTTGCCCTGATTCACAGAGCTCATGCAAAGTGTAATGAGAGAATTACGTGCTGAGGACTTGCTACTGAGCTCAGAAATTTCAGTTAAATGAGGGGCATCAGCTTGTGTTACCAGACCTTATTTAAAGTTACATTCAGCTGGGCACGGTGGCTCACATCTGTAATCCCAGCACTTTGGGAGGTTGAGGTGGGTGGATAACTTGAGATCAGGAGTTCAAGATCAGCCTGGCCAACATGGTGAAGCCCTATCTCTACTAAAAATATAAAAATTAGCCTAGCATGGTGATGCGCGCCTGTAATCCCAGCTACTCAGGAGGCTGAGGCAGGAGAATCGCTTGAACCTGGGAGGCAGAGGTTGCAGTGAGCCGAGATCGTGCCACTGCACTCCAGCCTGGGCGACAGAGCCAGAGTCCATCCCAAAAATAAATAAATAAATAAATAAATAAATAAATAAATAAATAAAGTCACATTCATGAACTCAGTGGAAAGTGAGAGCCTATTAAATTATTTCAGATACTTTACTTGTGAACCTAATAGGAAATTCTACCAGGGCTGAGCAAATTCGGAAGCTAAGAAGAGATGGCACTGATGGAGCAGGTGGCTCGCAATGTGCAATACCTTGAAGTACAGCCAACTCTGCTGTCACTTAAGGATTGATTTGGCTTATTCTGAATTATTCTAGTCCCCTTTTCCAGTCTATTTTGATAGCTTTGAGCATTTAATGCTGTCTGGTTAGCACTTCTTCTAGGCAGAGGTAGGGTGTAAGGATAAAACTTTCAATCTCTCTAAGACTTTGTTAGGACTCAGCCCCCCAAATCCCTGTCTTTCTTCCGCATATTTGTTGGACTTCAGGGTACCGTTAGTCAGTGCCAGCGAGGCCTCTTGGTTCTGTTCTGTGAGCTGTTCATTGCATTTCTTCGATGTTTTCTTCTTAGTCCTTCCTTTGTAGTGTCATTTACGGCTGAATTTGGAATTGCCGTTTTTAGTTGTCTATGATACAATATCGTTTGAGATATCTGGTTGCCAAGATGAAGCACAAAACCACTCACAATATAAATTAATACATAAATGTTAATATTTGGGGACAAAATAATCATTTTTTCAATTAATATTTGTTGAGCATTTACAAGCCAGGCACTGTTGTGAGTTCTAAAGATCAGCAGTGAACTAGAGAAACACTGCCTGTCTGCTGGACTTCCCACTGAGTGCCTGCATCTCTTTGCTGACAGCTCTCTTTAGCTGCCAGAGCCCCCTCTTCCCAAGGGCGCAGTTGGCCAAAGAGTATTGGGGAATTATCCCCCGGAAGCAGTCCTCAAACAGTGACTGATGGGACTTGGTATAAATACTCCAGCTCCCTCCCCCCTTAAATGGGATCACCTTCAAGTACATGTTTTGTCTCATTTCCTTCAAGGGAAACACAAACTAAGACACTCCATCCTCATGAAACTCACAATCCCTGGATGAAGAGACCAAAACTAGCATACCAGCAAATATATCTATTAGTACAATGACAGATGGTGATAAATGCTATGGAGAAATATAAACAGCATATGAGACAGGAGTGCCAGCAGGAGAGATTGCTATTTGTATGGGCTACTCAAGAAAGACTTCATGTTGTGGTAATATTTGAGGAGACTCTCAGTGCACTCAAAACAAGTCTCTCTCTCTCACTCTCAATTTCTATTTTGAAATAACCTAGAGTGGTGGCTAAGCACTAAGAGCCTTCCCTAGTGCCTGGGCATCAGAGAGGGAATCTGGTCCAAGCTGGTAGCGCTGCATTACCTCATTCTTTTCTGGTCTTGGTCATTGACCATCCTTTTCATAACCACAGACTCAGCTCCATCTTTGCCACCCTTGAGTGGACCGAGGAGGAACTCTCTAAGGCTCAGGCCCATCTACTTAGACACTTCTGCTTCAATAGGTTCTGGCTGCTTGGGAATACCAGCAGCAACTTTCTGGAACACCTTCTGGGAAAGGAGCCACAGAGCTTCTCTCTTCAGGACATCAGGCTTGTCTGCGGTTTCTCCTAGACTTGAGGACAAGGAAGCCTCGGTATGAGAATGTCCTCAGGACCAAGCAGAAGAATGTACCTTTTCATTCTTCTTTCTCTGCCATCCCTTTCTTCCCTAAAGCAAAAGGTCAAATGCTTTGTTGCTGCTTGTTTTGGAAAAGAGTAAGAGGGACTGGTGAAGGATAAAGGAGGAAATATGTCAACTCTCAAATATGACAGGATTGAACACATGATTTATTTTATCACCTTAGAATTTAGTTCTAGAAGTCTCCTTATTTTTTTTAGATTTGATGGTATAATTTCTATGGCAGTGTTTTGAATTCAAATTGCAACTTTACATGACAGACTTAGGGTACAGAATTACAAATCTGGACATAATTTCCTGGCGATTGAATCAAGTATCAACATATCTGATGACCACCATGACGGGAGTTGGACAAGTCACCAGCACTCAGAAAATCAAAGGTCAGCTTGACTCAATGTTCACTCCTTTAGAAACGTAGGGAGTTGACTGCTTCTTGCACGCACCACCGCACCTGTTCCACAAAAGCGGCCTTGTGAGATTGGCAAGAGAAGCCAAGATATCCAAGCTATTTCCCACCTAATAAGTACCTGGGAGCTCAAGCTTCCTCTGTGGCTCTGATGGCACTCTACCTGGGAGAAGATATAGCAAGGAGAACCTGACAGATCATCCATATGGTGCCATCTGTGGTAAGAGATTAGTCACTGCATACTTCTCATTAGAAAAAATATAAAGAAAGCCAGGGAATCCCATGATAAGTCCCAGCCAGGCAAAGCAGAAGACCTTCTGCTCTTCCCATCTGATTCACCATTACCTACAAATACAAGATCAAAGATAAGGAACGTAAGATCTGACTTTTAAACTTAATCAACAAAAATATCTGCAGTATGGTATAGTAGAACCATGGAACTTCAGGATAAATATGGTAGATTGAACATATTCAACTAACTGAACTTTCTTGAAACCACACCAAAACTCCATTAAAAGAGACTTTTAAGGGCATAATCTGGCAAGGGTGAGGGATAATAGATAAGAAATGACCATTACATAATTTAGGTATCTGGCTATATGTTTACAGCAGTTGACAGATCTGAGAACCTGATCATTGATCATCCGTGTGAAAACCTGGAACCAATCCAAGTTATTTTATAAAAAACCTTAAAAGTCTCAGAAATTGATGATGTTTGTTTCCTCTGGAAGTGGGATTCAAGATAAGGCATAAAACAAAGAGGAGAGTTGACAGCTACTTAAGGAACAATCAGAACTCCCACCTTAGAGGGACTATTTATGTATTTATTCTTTGGAGTCAGGAAAACAGAGAGTGTGAGGATGACACAAAGCCCAGATGAAAGCAGGCTACAGGCCGGGCGCGGCGGCTCCCGCCTGCGATGCCAACACTTTGGGAGGCTTAAACAGGCGGATCACCTGAAGTCAGGTGTTAGAGACCAGCCTGGTGAAACCCTGTCTCTACGAAAAATACAAAAATTAGCCGGGCGTGGTGGCATGTGCCTATAGTCCCTGCTACTCAGGAGGCTGAGGCAGGGGAATCACTTGAACCCAGGAGGCAGAGGTTGCAGTGAGGCAAGATAACACCACTGCACTCCAGCCTGTGTGACAGAGCAAGACTCTGTCTCAAGAAGAGAGAAAAAGAAAGAAGAAAGAGAGACAAAGAAAGAAAGAAAGAAAGAGAAGAAAGAAAGAAAGAAAGAGAGAAAGAGTACCATTTTGAAAGCAAGAAGATAAAGTAATTGTAAGCATATGAAAAAATGCTGAGACCTCCTGCATTCTTCTCCAATCTTGCTCTAGAATGCTGGCATCCAGGCCTTCACTCTATCCTGGCAAGAGATTAGATAGAAGTTCTCCCAAGAATCTAATCTGCCTAAGAGGAAAGACCTAAAGATATCAATATTAGGGATTACTCCGAAAGATACAAAGGAAGATCCCTCTGCAGTGATGCCTTACCAACTCTCATACTTTTCAAGCACAGCAAACACATCCAGAAATCCAATCAGCTTTTTAGTCTGCCAACTTGAAATATGAACAGATAATTAAGTGTTACTAGACATATGAGGAAAACTTCCTTAAAAACAGGAAAAAGCAGGGAAAAAAGTAACTTTGTAGGAAATAATGACTATATAGTGAGAATTCGTTAAGTATACACATATCATTAATGTCCATAGAAAAATAACCAAATATATTATGTCCATGAAAAAGAACAGAATGCTAATTTTTTCAATAAATGTCAGAGAACATAAACTGGCTGTTAAACACAAAAACAAAGCACTCCAAAAAAAGGTGGAAATACAATTGAGGAAATCTTTTAGAGAGTAAAGCAAAAAAATTAGATGGAAGATTGGAGAGAAAATGTATAAAAGTTTAAAATCCGGTCAGGCATGTTGGCTCAGGCCTGTAATCCCAGCAATTTGGGAGGCTGAGGTGGGTGGATCACCTGAGGTCGGGAGTTTGAGACCAGCTTGACCAACACAGAGAAACCCCATCTCTACTAAAAATACAAAATTAGCCGGGTGGGGTATGGTGGTGCATGCCTGTAATCCCAGCTACTTGGGAGGCTGAGGCAGGAGGATCGCTTGATCACCTCCACCTGGAGGTGGAGGTTGTGGTAAGCCGAGATCGCACCATTGCACTCCAGCCTGGGCAACAAGAGCGAAACTCAGTCTCAAAACAAAGTTTAAAATCCGGACAAATAATATTCCAGAATGAAAAAACAGAGGAAATTATCATAATAATTCATGTTTTTTTCCAAACAAGACAACAGCTTTCAGACTGAAAGGTTTCAAAGAGTGCCCAGCATAGGGGATAGATAAACCTATGCCAAAGCACATCATTGTGAAATTTTAAGAAACGGGGACCAAAAGTGCTAGAAATTGCCAGAGGGACAAAAACCAAAACAAAACAGGCCACACACCTGTTTTTAGGATGGTGAATCACAAAGTCTTCAAACCTCTTAACAGAGCTAAAAGACAGTGGAGCAAATTTTTCCCACAAAAATCTTTTAAAAAAAAATCCAACCCAAAATACTGTGTCCAGCAAAACTAGCAATCAAGTGTGCAGGTGTAAAGAAGTCATTTTTAGACATGCAAGCCTCAAGAAACTTAACATTCATGAATGCTTTCTCTGGAAGCTACTGACCAATGTGCTCTAACTAAAATTAAAAAATTAACAATTAAAGGGGAAGACATGGCATAAATAAAAGAGATTTAGCACAGAATAGAAGTGAAGAAAACAGAAATTAATCAATCTAGATTGGAGCAGATAAAAGGCTCCAGAAAAGACTTCAAGAGAATCTAACCAAGAGAACACTTGTTATATTTGTACATATTGCAAAAACATTTAGCTAACCGGGGGATACTTTGGAGTTGGACTGGAGATATATGCAAAAAATTAAGCAAATGATAAAACAAGATAATTAACTATAGGGAAAATTTTAAAAAATTGTGCATGAAGATAAAAATAATTGTTAGGTTACTGTATGACTCAACCCTGAACACACTGTGTAGTCATGATAACATAAAGACTGAACACTGTAACTAAATTATAGTATTACTGTCTCTGAAAGAATGAGAGTAATGTATACATGTGCTACAGGAGTAGAGATAAGAAAGAGCAATATTCTCATCTTTCATGGTGGTAAGTCAAAAATAGCAATACATGCGTATTATTTTGAGATACAGAAGTAAATACCAAAAGCTTCTGCTAAAAGATTTGAAGGTGTTTGCTTCTAAGTAAGGAGACATGAGGAAGCGTGTTTCTATTAACCATCCTAGTAAAAGTGGTGCTGGATGGCAGCCATAGAATAATTCTAAATTTAGCAGATAACCCTTGGCTTCTCGACCATGTTGTTTTTCCTATTCTTGTCTCCTGAAGTGGTATCTGCACATCAAGAGCAAATCACACAGGTGGCTTCTTAGCTCCCCTTGGTGACTCCACACACTGGAGACATTCAGCCCCTCCCTACTCCTTCCTTCTAAACTTAGCCCATCGGCAATCAACGCTGACTGATTTTTCTTCATCTTCAACCAGACTTGGGCAGCAGAATGGTAGAAAGGAAACTGGAGCAGAGCTGGATCAAAATGAATTGCTTCTTTCAGAAGAGTCCTGAAATTTACATCCCCAAGAAGGTTCCTATCTGGCCAACATGAAATTAGTGTGTCCACTAACTGATTGCATGGGCTGCAACTCCAAACTCTTTCGTGTTATATGCACTAAGAACTACACTAAATGAATAGAAACCTGAACTGATCAGCAACAGGAATCAAGGATGAATTTTATGTGCCATGTTTTTAAGTTCTTGAAAGGCAATGCTCTGATGGACACATCCTTGGTTATTTCCAACCCTTGACACATAGAGATGCACCCTCAGTAAAAACGTGTTCATTGGTAACCACCAGTAAGGAATACCCTAGCTCCAGGGTGCGTTCAAAACATTTTGCTGTTGCTGGAGAAATATGAACTGAAAACATCTTTTCCCATGTACCTGAAACAAGAGAGTCAACCCAGAATGTCTCCTTAAAAGTAGGTTTTTAGAAGCTAATAGATAAAGGGATCCGAACCTGAGAAGATGAGAGAACCACTCCACAATGCTCTTCTAGACCATTCTTCCTTTCTGTTCTCCAGGGCTCCCTTTTCTGGATACAGATCTTCCTCATTCTTAATTGTTGCAAGGCCAATGGGATGGCCCTGAGTGTAGAGGAGGCATCAGAGTAGCCCATAGCCCAGTAAATACTCAAGGGCCTTTGTATGCATTTGCAAGCATGATGGCATCCAGCTGAGTGTCACTGGATACACTTCAGGGTTTTAAAGCATGATTTTAAAGCATCCCTGGAAGGTATCATTACGTCATAGCAGAATTTTGAATTGATGTCTTTCTGACATCTTTAGGAGCATTGTTTTTTCCATTCCTTGAGGGATTTACATGTTTTGTACTTCAGCTGGAAGTGGTACAAACACTATGTTTGTTTATGAAGACTTTTAAATGCCATTATATGAGTGACATGTCCAATGGCATACTGATTTATTATTAACAAAATATATAAGGTAATTTATTTTTAGCCTTTGTCAACTAACTTTATCCTTCTGAACTCAATTTCTCTTTCTGGTGATTTTATTTCAGAAAACAGTAGCATTGCTTTTACTGTTTCATAATCTCACTCAAATGTGGGACATTTTGTTTTAATTTAGCTAGAAATAATTCCTAATATATTAGCCTGATTGAATTCATAGACTTTTAGAGCTAGAGGAGACTGAGGCATCCATATAGTTTACTCATCCTATAATTAAGGAATTTGTCCCTGACCAGTGACCACTGGCAAGAATGGAAGAAAACTGGATTTCTTGTGCTGTTACTAAGTTTTTTAGAAAAGCAATGTGTTTTGTTATCTTAATTCTCAAGGTTTTTCATTCTTCTATGTGCCTCAGTGGACCAGAGTGGATCAGAAAAAAAAATTGTAAATTTTTCACAAACAGTGCAAGTTTGATAGAAAAGGGCTAATGCATTTTAGTCAATGGCGACAATAATATTCCAGCTGAAGGTTATATGGAAGGGATATCCTCAGAGTTTGTTCTCTGCCCCAAGTCTTTACTAGTCAGAACTATTTTTTAGGCTAATTCATTATGACAAAACATCTGTATTTTTGCAAATACTCTTGACCCCTTAGCTGACACCTACAAGATTACAAACTGACTGCTCTTTATCTTTACATTTTATTGGCTTTCCTTGACTTTGACATATCTCTGCCTAATCATTTAATGTATCAAAAATCTTCAGCATTTGCTCCTTTTGTTAGCAAGGCAAAGCTTTGGGATTGAAAAGTTGATCCCTGGTTCACAGTTACAGTTCCCTGATTGCACAGTTATTTTATTGCTATGATATGCATGTGTTTACAAGAAGCTCACTGGTAGTCTACAATCATATTCTACCCAAACTACCCTTCAAACTCAATCTTTGTTCTTATTCAAGTTTAGGTAAATTCCTTCACCAGGGATTTTTAAATTCTTTAATATAATTATAAATTATCCTCACACTCACTCACCAAACTATTGTTGTTTGTTGATTTTAATGTATACTAAAAATTCTGTTAAAATATTTTATTCCAATGAGATAATAAAGGTAGAGAAAATAACCAAAAAGGTTATGGTTTAATTGACCTGTAGGGTATTAACTAGTCTGTATTCAATTTAGTAATATCTGTCTAGTTTGTGTTTTTGGTTTTTGGTTTATTTGCTTGGTTTTTGTTGACAAAAATATACAAATACATACATACAAACACATACACATACAAACACATACATATATTTGTGTATATATACTTATATGTATATATGTGTGTATATGTGTGTGTGTATATATATATATATATATATATATATATATATAATATATATAAAATCAGTGTCTCATAGCCTCCTTTGACCTGGCTTTGACAACTTCCGGATTAAATAAAACTTGGATACACATTCTTTGCATGTTCCAAATTATACCTTGACCTTGATTATAATATCTTCATTTGAGTATGACAAATATATGAAGTGTACACCTTCACTTTTCTATCCTGTACCCAAGGCAGACATCAAAATTAATCACAGGCATGGTTCAGAATCTTTCTCAACACAAGCACCCAGAAGACATTAACAATAAATGGAATTTGGAGCTAAAGTTAAAATCCATTTGTCATTTCTGCCCTATTGGCCTATGTTGTTGTTTTTTCTTGCTTTTAAAAGTTGCTGATCAAACCAAAGGATGTTTATTCTTGCATTTCATTCTTGTTCTTCTTTCATGTTCAATAAACCATTGTATTAGATTGCACAGTTATTTTATTGCTATGATATGCATGTGTATACAAGAAGCATACACTTGCCAGTTTTCCATACCCTGTGACTCCCCCAGTATGCACACTCATCCAGCAGTTACATTACTTTCCTTTCCTGGCCCCTGAAGATACTTGCATTTATTGCCTGTCTTTTAAGGAATTGTTATAGTTAGAGATTGGGTTGTGTGAAATTGCCTTTTGCATAGGTGAAAAACAGCAAATATTACAAATTTCATATCATTTGACCTAATCAGAACATAAGAATCAAACAAAATGCTGCTGTCTTTGGTGATCTTCCAGTTTCAAAACAATTTATTTTCTATTTTGAATCCCAATAATCATCCAAAAGAAGTAGTGATTTAGCACCCACTGTGCACAAAGCATCTAGTAGACACCAGGGACGACAAAGATACATGCACATTCAGCTTTTAAAGGTGCTCGTGCCTGGGTTTCAAGGGGTGAATGGCCTTATTTTCTATTAGACGGTGAGCTCTTTGAAGGCAGAGGCTGTGTTTTACTGTGCTTTATTTTTCTGTGCATTTATCGTATGGTAGATGTTCAATAAACCTTTGTGAAATTAGTGAAAGGAAAAGAGATAGGGGAGAAGGAAAGGAAATAGAGAGAAAAGGAGAAATAGAGATTCTGGTGTGAAAAGCACGTGCCCAGGCCCAGCTCAGCGGCTCACGCCTGTAACCTCAGGACTTTGGGAGGCTGTGGTGGGAGGATCGCTTGAGTACAGGTGTTCAAGACCAGCCTGGGGAACATAGGAAGACCCCTGTCTCTACACAGAGAAAAAAAATTACCTGGGCATGGTGGTGCATGCCTATGGTCCCAGCTACTCGGGAGGCTGAGGCAGGAGGATTGCCCGAGCCCAGGAGGAAGGTTTTTCTTTTGCGAAACAGCTCCTCTCATCAAAAGAGCCAAAACAAACTTTCCTTCTTATTTTTTATTCTTGGACAATAGTAAAAGCAATTTAGCTATTGAGTTTCCAGAACTTGGGAAAAGCAGTCATCGGTCACCTTGAGAAATGTATTGAATGTGAAAAGATTTTTACTGTGGTAAATAATCAGTGCTAGCTTTGCCATTTACAAATGGCACATCTCTTAGCAATCAAGAATAAATAATGTTTAAATCAGTAAAAATTAGAATTGTTAAATGTTGTCATTTTACTGATAGGTTTGGCAGTAGGGGAGAAGAGAAGGAAAACAGATACTTTTATATACCATTGGTGAAAGTCAATTGCTAGGACTTTAACAGAAAGAAAATTGGTTATGTGTATTAAAATCCTCAAAAGTATGCGAAGTCTTTGAATCAGAAATTCTATTTCTGGGAATTCATCCTGAAGAAATAATTAAGTATTTATACAAAGATGTAACCATCAGAGCAGTCAATGCAATGTCATTTATACTAGTGAAAAAATTAGAAACAACTTTAATGATCAATGATAATAGAATATTATTTCATATTATACTGCTATATTTTATGATATAAAAATATAGATAGTTGCATATTTTATGCTATAGTTAAATATCCGCATAGAATTTATTTTTACATTAAAAATGTTCATAATATATTGCTCAGTTAATACAAAGGTTACTAAATTATATATATAATTATATGTATGTGTGTATATGCATGATTACAGCTTCATAAAAGAATTATACACACACACGGGTATTTTTCTGGGAGGATACACACCAATGTTTTAGCAGTAGTTATCTCTGAAAGAAAAGTTAGGGATGTTCAAAACAAGTTTTATTTTTTCTCTCTGTTTATCTCATTTCCCAATTTTTCTTTAATGAACATATTCCACTTTTATAGTAATAAAAACTGTTTCAACAAGAAAAAAAAAAGAAATGCTACCCTCCGACATTTGTTGGCAACATATTTACTACCCGCAAATATGTTGTTTGAAGCTTTGATTGTCAAGATTGAAGAAACAAATTGTAGTGATAGACCAAAATACTTAAGATGATCCTATGTATCTATGAAGATTATGACAAAAAATTGTCTCAATACGTGTATCAAAACATCCAGTTGTACACCTTAAATATGTAGTTTTTTAAATTATACCTCAATAAAGTTGACAAAAGAATTTTGTCAATATTTAGTATTAGTCAACTCAGAAAGGTTACAACATAGAAAAATTTCTAAATAGAATCTGAGTAAACTAAATTACCTGTGTCATATTTCTGCCATCTGAAGTAAAATAATTCTTAATATGAGATTTAAAGATCTTTTTTCATGAGCATTCAAATTTTTATTTTCAGGAAAGACTCATTTGTGGGCATCTTTATTTTCTGTTTCAGAGAAAAATATCATTATTTGAAAACACCTTTTTTTTTTTTGAGACAGAGTCTCGCTCTGTCACCCAGGCTGGAGTGTAGTGGTGCGATCTCAGCTCACTGCAAACTCCACCTCCTGGGTTCAAACAATTCTCCTGCCTCAGCCTCCCGAGTAGCTGGGACTGCAGGCACCCGCCACCACACCCGGCTAATTTTTCTGTATTTTTAGTAGAGACGAGGTTTCACCGTGTTAGCCAGGATGGTCTCGATCTCCTGACCTTGTGATCTGCCCACCTTGGCCTCCCAAAGTGCTGGGATTACAGGCGTGAGCCACCGCGCCCAGCCCCAAAAACACTTTAACATTATTTTAAATAATAAAACCACTTGTAAATTATTTATTTATTTATTTATTTATTTATTTATTTATTTTTATTTTGAGAAGGAGTCTCGCTCTGTCGCCCAGGCTGGAGTGCAGTGGCGCCATCTCGGCTCAATGCAACCTCCACCTCCTGGGTGCAAGCGATTCTCCTGCCTCAGCCTCCTGAGTAGCTGGATTACAGGCGCCCACCATGCCCGGGTTAATTTTTGTGTTTTGGGTAGAGAGGAGACTTCGCCATATTGGCCAGGCTGGTCTCGAGCTCCTGACCTCAAGTGATCCACACGCCTCAGCCTCCCAAAGTGCTGGGATTACAGGCCACTTGTACATAATTTTGATTATAAAGTAACATACATTAATAAGAAAAAAAATTGAAAAATTACCCCAAATTCTATTACACAGAGATAAGCACTGATAACATTTTAGTGCCGATCCATAAAGTTAATACCAGTCTTACATTGGAAAACAGGAGGTTGGTGTTTATTTAAATCCTCTGAAAATTTGGTGGGGCTCATGTAACTACATGTTTTCTCTATTGTCTGTGACATTTGGAAATAATTGTAGTGAAACAGAATAATCCTACACTCTTATTTATCCATACTAAAATGTCTTCTACCTTGGACACTACAAGATATTTCTGGAAAAAAAAAAAAAAAGAGGCGACTTGACACCCATAAAAGAATGCATTCACATCCTTTCTAACTTCATTTCCTCCAGGACAAATATCAGTGGATGGGTTCATGCGCTATCTGAGTGGAGAAGAAAACGGAGTCGTTTCACCTGAGAAACTGGATTTGAATGAAGACATGTCTCAGCCCCTTTCTCACTATTTCATTAATTCCTCGCACAACACCTACCTCACAGGTATGAATTTTCTAGTTCTTTGTTACTTTAGCCAGTCTCACCAAATTTCACCAACCTCTACTTTCTGTTGTTCGGAAGCTGAAGTGTGTTTTCTTCCATTTCCTGCGAAGTGCCTCTGAGAACTCTGGGGTTCCACCACTAAAGCCTCCCGCCTCCCATAAGCAGTCATGTCCACATGTGTATGAAGCAATAGCATCATTTCTCCACAGCCTAAGTTTTTAAGTCTTCTAAAATGCAACCACGGCTGACATTTTCAGATCAATGGGATTTTTGTGTAACTGAACTCATTCTTCAGTGTACTTGAAGCCATGTCCAGTCCTACCCGGTTCTCTGGGCTGTGTTCATCTACATGACAGCTCCGAAGTTCTTAAGTGGTGGCTCATGCTTGTAATCCCAGCACTTTGGGACGGCGAGGCGGGCGGATCACCTGAGGTCAGGAGTTCGAGACCAGCCTGTTCAATATGGCGAAACCCCTGTCTCTACTAAAAATACAAAAAAAAAAAAAAAAATCAGCCAGGCGTGGTGGTGCGTGCCTGTAAACCCAGCTACTTGGGAGGCTGAGGCAGGAGAATCACCTGAACCCAAGAGGTGGAGGTTACAGTGAGCCGAGATCACACCACTGCACCCCAACCTGGGTGACAAGAATGAAACTTTGTCTCAAAAGAAAAAAAAAAGAATTAAGTAATTGCTTTTTGTTCAAGGTAGGACAGGGCTTTAGACAAAAACAAATTGACCTGTGAATGACAACTTATACTTTATTGTAAATATTATAATAAAGTAGGATAAAACATCAATGTGTTTCTAATCTGATCTTAAATTAAGCCTTGACCTATTTGGCAGTCTGGTGAAGTGTATGCACCCTTCTCAGAATGCTAAATGCATAAATTAAGTACCTAGAATTAAAGAGGAAATAAATTTCATTGAAATATTTTTATAAAATGTTATGATATATAACCTTGTGTATCTCAGTATTAACACAATTTAAATAAGTATAAGTAAAATGTTGTGATAATTTGCAACAATTGGAATATAATACACAGATCTTGCTAGTGACTTGTAAACTACATACTTAACTGAAGAGAATGTTAAATTTTGTGTAGAGGTTAAAATTAAAACTGTAACCATTCTTTCTCATCCAAGTTCAAGGAGGTTCATGGAATATCACTTTAACAGTCTAGATCTTTGACATGATAAAATTCAAAGAAGTATAATTTTTAAAATCTGAGCACATTATAGAATCTTACATTTATCCTATATTTAGGACCACAAAACTCAAAAATACTTAAATATATGTCCGGTTGAATTTTGGGTATTGTGTGTGATTTTGTTTAAGTGGAAGTCACAATATAGAGTAGATTTTTTACGAATAATCTTTTGAGTCCAAAATACCTTCCAACTGATATATTTATATTCATTACATTCTATTTTATTTGTCATATAATAAATGAGTCAGTAATACCAAAATGATTGAATGACAAGACTGATTGGATATACATTTTATTTTTTCACCTTCTTTCAGAGTATATTAATTTTTCCCTTTCTGACTATCACTAGGGTTTTCAGATTTTATGTATGTTCATTCAATCGCGGCTGCCATTCTCCTTTTGAGAGACCAAATTGTCTCAACTTTGGTTAGTAGGAGACATTTTTAGGCTATCATCTGTGTCCTCTTGACATGACCTATTAATCTTTGAAAGTGTTCTGGCACATAGAGATCTTCCAGACTCACCTTATTCCTTTCTGCTCCAGAGATGGAAACAGACTATTCTCCAGTGAGCCCTGGTTCTTTTTGATGGGAAAGAAAAAGTATGAGTAACAGCAATTTGGACCCTGAACATTGCCTGGACTGTTTCAGTGAACAAAGGAAGAAAAGATAATTTTTTTTTGTCTTTTTAAGGCACGAGTTCACATAAATATTTCTACTTCTACCTACCAATTTAAATTATTATTATTATTATTATTCTTGAGACAGGGCCTCACTCTGTTGCCCAGGCTGGAGCACAGTGGCATGATGATAGCTCACTGTAGTCCCGATCTCCTGGGCTCAAGCAATCCTCCCACCTCAGCCTCCTGAGTAGCTGAAACTACAGGCACGTGCCACCACACCTGGCTAATTTTTTATTTCTTGTAAAGACAAGGTCTCACTATGTTGCCCAGGCTGGACTCAGACTCCTGAGCTCAAGCAATCCTTCTGCCTCAGCCTCCCAAAGTCCTGGGATTAACGACATGAGCCACTGTGCCTGTCCCCAATTTAAATTATTTTTTTAAATTATTTTTCCATAAGTTATAAGGGTATAGGTGGTATTTGGTTACATGAGTAAGTTCTTTAGTGGAGATTTGTAAGATGAGATCCTGGTGCACCCATCACCCGAGCAGTATACACTGAACCATATTGGTTGTCTTTTATCCCTCACCCCCTGCCCCAAGTCCCCAAAGTCTATTATATCATTCTTATGCCTTTGCGTCCTCATAGCTTAGCTCCCACATATCAGAGAGAACATACGATGTTTGGTTTTCCATTCCTGAGTTACTTCACTTAGAAAAATCGTCTCTAATCTCATCCAAGTCATTGGAAATGCTGTTAATTCATTCCTTTTTGTGGATGAGTAGTGTTCTATCATGTATACATACCACAGTTTCTATATCTACTCATTGACTGATGGGCATTTCAGTTGGTTCCACGATTTTGCTATTGTGAATTGTGCTGCTGTAAACATGCGTGTGCAAGTATCTTTTTCAAATAGTGACTTATTTTCCTCTGGGTAGATACCCATTAGTGGGACGGCTGGATCAAATGGTAGTTCTACTTTTAGTTCTTTAAGGAATCTCCACACTGTTTTCCATAGTGGCTGTACTAGTTTACATTCCCACCAGCAGTGTAGAAGTGTTCCCTGATTGCTGCATCCATGCCAACTTCTACTGTTTTTTGATTCTTGGATTATGGCCATTGTTGCAAGAGTAAGGTGGTATCGCATTGTGGTTTTGATTTGCATTTCCCTGATCATTAGTGATGTTGAGCATTTTTTCATATGTGTGTTGGTCATTTGTACATCTTCTTTTGAGAGTTGTCTATTCATGTCCTTAGCCCACTTTTTGATGGAATTGATTGTTTTCTCCTTGCTGATTTGTTTGAGTTCATTGTAGATTCTGGATATTAGTCCTTTGTCAGATGTATAGATTGTGAATATTTTCTCCCACTCTGTGGGTTGTCTGTTTATTCTGCTGACTGTTCCTTTTGCTGTGCAAAAGCTCTTTAGTTTAATTAGGTCCCAGCCATGTATCTTTGTTTTTATGCAATTGCTTTTACCCAAAAGCAATTTTTGGTCATGAAATCCTTGCCTAAGCCAATGTCTAGAAGGGTTTTTCTAATGTTATCTTCTAGAATTTTTATAGTTTCAGGTCTTAGATTTAGGTCCTTAATCCATCTTGAGTTGATTTTTGTATAAGGTGAGAGATGAGGATCCAGTTTCATTTTCCTACATGTGGCTAGCCAATTACCCCAGCACACTTTGTTGAAAAGGGTGTTTTTCCCCCACTTTATGTTTTTGTTTGCTTTGTCAAAGATCAGTTGGCTGTAAGTATTTGGGTTTATTTCTGGGTTCTCTATTCTGTCCCATTGTTCTGAGTGCCTATTTTTATGCCAGTACCACACTGTTTTGGTGACTATGCCCTTAGAGTATAGTTTGAAATCAGGTAGTGTGATGCTTCCAGATTTGTTCTTTTTGCTTAGTCTTGCTTTGGCTATGCGGGCTATTTTTTGGTTCCGTATGAATTTTAGAATTGTTTTTTCTAACTCTGTGAAGAATGATGGTGGTATTTTGATGGAGATTGCATTGAATTTGTAGATTGCTTTTGGCAGTGTGGCCATTCTCACAATATTGATTCTACCCATCCATGAGCATGGGATGTGTTTTCATTTGTTTGTCATCTATGATTTATTTCAGCAGTGTTTTGTAGTTTTCCTTGTAGAAGCCTTTTGACTCCTTTTTTAGGTATATTCCTCAGTATTTTTTTTTTTTTTGCAGCTATTGTAAAAGGGTTGAGTTCTTGATTTGATTATCTGCTTGGTCACTGTTGGTGTATAAAAGAGCTACTGATTTGAATATATTAATCTTGTATCTGAAAACTTTGCTGAATTCTCTTATCTGTTCTAGGAGCTTTCTAGAGGCGTCCTTAGGATTTTCAAGGTAAACAATCATATCGTCAGCAGTCAGGGACAGTTTGACTTCCTCTTCACTTATTTGGATGCCCTTTATTTCTTTCTCTTGTCTGATTGCTCTGGCCAAGACTTCCAGTACTATGATGAAGAAGGGTGGTGAGAGTGGGCATCCTTGTTTTGTTCCCGTTCTCAGGAAGAATGCTTTCAGCTTTTCCCCATTCAGTATTAAGTTGGCTGTGGGTTTGTCATAGGTGGCTTTTAATTCATTAAGGTGTGTCCCTTGTATGCCAATTTTGCTGAGCTGTGCTCTTTTTAGTAATCTTGATACCTAACAGATTATACATACTAACTCATTTTCTTTACTGAAAACCTTATAATAGTATTAAGAAAATTTTCAATATTAATACAAATAATAAAACTACAAAATGTAGTTCAAATTTGTGTATGCAGTTTTTAAATTACATTTCACT
This sequence comes from Homo sapiens, assembly GCF_000001405.40. Classification (NCBI taxonomy): domain Eukaryota; kingdom Metazoa; phylum Chordata; class Mammalia; order Primates; family Hominidae; genus Homo; species Homo sapiens. The sequence continues at coordinate 8,689,708 of NC_000020.11, forward strand.
AAAAATTTACAATCAAATTAATTTCTTCTTCTAAATTAATTTCTTCTGAAGTCATTCATATGCCCTTCCTATGTATAACTTGTTAAACACAGATGTGGTAAAAAATTTGGCTCCATTGTGTCAGGTTAGTTTAAATTTGAGGGTGTTGGCATATTAACAGCTAATCAGACTAAAAAGATGATGTGATACTTTCAGCTATTAGGAAAGAAAAGGGTTTACCTTTTTTATGAAGAAAGAACTCTAATAGCTGTCTCCAAATTTCTGTACAATGGTTTTGTATCAACACCATCTGATTCATATACCTCGTTTCTGGTCAATTATCTCTTCAATTATTTAATTTCTAGTACTGTTAGAATCCACATATTTTCAAATACTCAGTTTTTAAAACTATATTAACTATGTTAAATTGTATTCTCATCTAAGGGGTTTTGTTTTTGCTGTTGTTTTTTTTTTTTATCTTGCTCCCTTTTCTGAGCTCTGTATTATTATACCAAGGTTTGCATTAGATAAATCTGTAACCACTCAACTGGGTTCTTCTTGCCTGCTGCCTAGAAAAAGCCAATACACTGAGAACAGCAGGTGTTACAACAGAGAAAGTTTACTTATTGCAAGGCAGTGGAGCAGAAGGATGGGACATATTTCTCAAATCAGTCTCTCTGATAATCCAGAAGCTAGGATTTTTCAAGGATAGTTAGGCAGCAGGGGGTTGGGAAGTGGTTAGGGAATGGGGAATGCTGATTGGTGGGTCAGGAAAGAAATGACATGGGAGTCAAAGCTGTCTTCTTGGACTGAGACAGTCCCTGGGAGAAGTTAAGTCTGTTTCTTGGCATGGGTCACAGGATGGGTGGCAGTAGTTGGTCCATGAGAATTCAAGGCCTGAAAAATACCTTAAACACCAGTCTTAGGTTTTATAATAGTGATGTTATATATAGGAGCAATTAGGGAGGTTACGAATCTTGTGACTTCAGTCCTAAACCATAATTCCAACCTTGTGGTTAATTTGTTAGTCTTACAAAAGTTGTTTTGGTCCCCAGGAAAGGAGGGGATTAGTTTTGGAAAGGGACTGTTATCATCTTTGTTTTAAAATCAAACTATATACTAATTTCCTCCCATAGTTATCTTGGCCTGTACTCAGGAATGAGCAAGGACAGTTAATTTGTGAGGTTAGAAGCAAGATGGAGTCAGCTATGTCAGATTTCTCTCACTGTCATGATTTTTGCAAAGGCAGTCAAATCTACATTCTCACAGTATTACCTTGCCCCAGTACCAGCCATTTATTTTCCTGCAAGGAAATTAAGGAGAATTCCATATAATTAGAAACAAAACTATATAAAAATATAAATACAGGCTCTTGAAGTTTTGCCTGAAATGCTGTTTTGACTCATGGGTCAAAATTTGGTTTTACTTCACATATTATTGGTAGAATCATTGTTTTAATTACAGATGAAACTAATGTAGAAGTCCTGTTTCTCAGAAGCCTTTGGATAAACTCAAATTTCTATGATATAAACATTCAAGCTACCCCAAATCAATTAAGAATGTTATAAAATAAAAATATAACCAATGCCTAATCCAATTGAATCCTATTAAATTTTTAAATTAATATCTAGAAAATAATTTAGTTTTTATACTTTACAGCCATTTTCAGAACAAGTAAAAACTGTATTTATAGAAACATTATTTCATATAAAGAGTGGTGGAAAAAAGAAAGTTTTCCTATTTAAATGAGTTTAAGAAATGCTAGGTGCAAAGGAAGGTTAGCACCTACCGTAATGTGTTTTGAATATAAAATAAAAGGATCAGAGTCTCACAGTCATCAACTCTTCATCCTCCTTGTCACCACCCAACTTATTTTCTTGGAGCATTTTAAGGACTAATATTCCTGAAAAATGCTATCTAAATCCAAATAGGAAGAATTTCAATATTCAGGATATTTTCTTTGAGCATCCAAAGGGACTGTAAAAATTAAATATACAGAATGAAACCAATCAGTTTAGCAATGCATTATTATTATGTCTATTTCTCTGCTCATTATTGCCCCTTTGTTGAATATCAAGATGCCCAGAAGTAAAAATAAATTGTATCATTGAGAGAAATAGATGCACTGAATGAGTGGTTTTTAATTATCATGGTCACTTTTTGGATTTGGGGTGATTTTGGCAGTACCCTCAGTACTGATTATGTTTTAAATTATTGCTTTTCCTTGAGGAATCTGCCCTATGACTCAAGAAAAAGAAATCTTCCTAGGAAGAAACACTATGCAGTAAATACAACCTATACTTGTGCACCTCTTCATAAACCTTCCCATACTCCCAACTATTTGGGAGATAATGGCTTCAGAAACACTGGAAAGGCAAAGCAATCTATCTCCGGACAGCTAATATCTTCATTCAGATAAGAAAGAAACCATTAGATTTGAGGGTTTTGCTATCCCCAATAATCTGATGAATTAAATTATCTGACTGAATGTTTCTGATAATTATTCAACTCCTCTCCTCATGTATAAGTTCTTGGCTGAAGAAAAGTTCTAAAAATGATTTAAGACCTAGCTGTACCCTTCCCAGTCATCTGCTACAAACCCAGACTTTGAGCACCCCTCCTCTCTTTCCCATCTCTCCCACTCATTTAGCCCTTAGCATATGCAACGTTTTATCATTTGTTTTTGCTTTAGAGCACACACAGACCTAAAAAGTCAGGTGGTAGAATGAAAAGAAGATGAGCTTAGGAAATAAACAGGGCCCAGTTTAAAATGGCCTTTAAGTAAATGACATACTTAACTCATTTGAGCCTTGGTTTGTTTGTAAAATGTAGATAAATTAAAACAGCCAGGGTTCTTGTGGCTGAAAGTAATAGGATGCTATTATTTAATGGCTTAAAGATTTAAGCAGTGTATTCCCTCACACAGCAAGGCACCCAGGAGCAGAGTGGTTGAGGATTGGTTAAATCAGGAATTCATTAATATCATGGAAGACCCAGGTGGTTTCTGTCTTTTTGGTCTCCTTATGGTTTCAAGATGACTGTGTACCCTAAGCATTACCTCCCTGTGAACCAAGATCCACAAAGGACATGGCGAAAGTTCTTGTGACCCTTCTAAGAGTGAAGAAAATGTTCCTAGAGGTTCCCTGACAGCCCCCCACCTCCATCCCCTCAATCTGGTAGGCATTCTTTATGCCATGTTATATATAGCTCAGAGTCACACCACACATCAATGCCCACAGTAATTGCTAACATGGGCCACAGAACTACCATGACTGACTGAGAAGAATCAAGATTTACCCCAAGGCTGCAGAGAAGACCCTGAAGCATATCAGAACCTAGATAAAATATTTTACTGGCAAGGAAAAAGAGAAAGAAGAGACAGAAAGGGCAACCAGAAGTGTAAGAATGGGAAGAAATTTATGTTTGCCTCCCTACCTGGATGGTAAGGGTAAAGGAATATGTCTCATATCACTTTCATATCCCCAGTAACCAGTATTTTGCCTCCCACAGAAAATGTTTTGGGGAATATGTACAAACACATAATGGTGAAGCTCCTATAATCAGTAAAGTATATACTTGAAGTCATTTTCTTAAGAGTGGAAATGACTTTAGGCTCTTACATAGACACTTTGTCTCCTAAGCCATCTCATGGCAACTGCTCTGTGTTCAAGAAAGCACCATGGTTTCACTGGGGCAGCAGGCAGATACCATGTAATTGAGAAATCAGATCAAACAGATGCATCTAGAGAGGGTCAAGACAAATAATACATTCTCTGCATTTTGGACAGTTTCCTCAGGTGTAGCCATGAGATTATATGCCCTGAATGGCTGTCATAGCATTGAAAGCAAGGAAATGTAGTCCTCATCTCCATCTGTTGAAGGGGACAATAACTATTGAAGAAGGCCACTGAATTAACAAATATATCACATTCTGGAACCTTCTTACCCTGGAGGTTGAAGGGAAGACAATAATGATAAATATGAAAACAGGCAATTAATCATCAGCCACTGCAAGATGAAAAATTCTTCAGAAGTTTGTGTTAATGGAGGAATTGCTATTTTTGATCTTCTGGTTTTTTCTATCCCTGGATGCCTTGGGTAATCTGAGACAAAGCTCAAGGGAATGTAACCAGCCACCCAAAATGAATGCACTCAAGTGAGAAGTTGCAGAGCTGTGACTTGGGGCAGTATTATGAATTACTCTGAGAAGGAGCTTCAGCTCCCAAGTTCAATCATGGACTTGGAATGTATTCCAGAGGATGTTCAGAGCCAGGGAGAGATGATGTCAAATACTAGTTTCAGAAATACCAAAGGTTGAATGACTCATGACCTATCACTAATCTCAACCTTCAGCGATCCGCTAGCCCCAGAAGCTATATTTATTCAATATATTCAAATGGAAATATAATGGGTAGATGAGATGTAATAATGAGTTAAGAATTTTAGGGAACAAAAATAAATCAGCTTTGAGGCTTAAGGCAGAAAAGAGAGTAACAGAGAATATGAATACATGTGTTTGAAAAATATTTCCATAAATGAAGTAAAACATACAGGGAACCTAATATGCATTCCAAGGAATAGGATAATTATGGATAAATGTGGGTTTTCTCAAAGTATGCTTTCTTTGGGAGGGTTCCATTTCTAATAAAAAGTATTCATTTTAAGAATGAACAATGAGTTTACCTTGGAGGGATTCTGTTGGTCTTAGGTGGACAATAAACTCTTTCTCTTTTTTATTCTTCAGTTTTTTTCCCCACATTCCTTTGCATCTCACAAACCCAACCTCATGCCTTACCATGGTTTTCAAAACATTAACTGATCAACATTCAAAAAATACATCAAATTCCTTCTCATTGTTCTTTGATTAAAAATATTCACAAGAAAATCTAAGGAAATGTTTCTCAAAACTTTGAACCTCTTATTACAGAATGCTCTAGTGTCTGTTAGGTATTTATCTACTTTGATACACTGTTAAATCTGATTAAATTCTTCACACTATCCTTACTAAAGTTAGTAACATTCAACTAGTATTAATGAAATTGATTCAGAAATTGTACAATATGTAATTGTGTTGATATAGTCAGTGATGTGCGTAAACAATTCTCTAAACAGTACACACAAAAATCTGCTCTATTCTTTAATACCGGTGCAATTTTCTGCAGGAGCAAGCATTTTAAATTAAATAACCTGATAATATTTGAATTATTCACTTCCTTTAGCTATAGTAGCTCCTCTTTAAGTTTAGAAATAACATATAAATGTTTGTCTTTTCCCCTTTACTCCCACTGTCCCCTTGTCCCTAATGCAGAAAAGACCTTTGTAAATCTTTGCCATGACAATGTACTTTGAAAAGGCAATTAGGAATGGCAATTTGATTATCCAGCATCAGGAAGTTTCTAGATCATTTTGTCAGCATTTCTGCTTTTCCAAATGCATCTTTGTGTTGAAAACATCCCATTTTTCCAGTAGAGAAAAGTTATTATGCAGACCCACTTAATCAGCCTTTCAGTGCATTTACCAGGGCTCTATAGAACTCAAAAATGTCATCCTTTTGTTATGCTGGTGGTTGAGTATTATGACATGCATATAAAAATAAAATTAAGCTAGTAGGCTTAATCCCATTTTCTTTGTCCTGTGTGTCTCCACGGGGCACATCTTGTCCATGTCAAAGTCATTTTAACAGTTTGCATCAATATGCCATCTTTTAACTGGCTATTTAAAAAAATGATGGTAGGCCAAATGTGGTGGTTTATACCTGTAATCTCAGCACTTCCTGAGGCAGAGGCAGGAGGATCGGTTGAGCCCAGGAGTTTGAGACCAACCTGGGCAACATAAGGAGACTCTGTCTCTAAACAAAATACAAAAATTAGTTGAGCATGCTCGTGCACATCTGTGGTCCCAGTTACTTAGGAGGCTTAGGAAGGAGGATGACTTGAGCCTAGGGGGTTGAAGCTTCAGTGAGCTATGATCACACCACTGCACTCTAGCCTCGGTGACAGAGTGAGATCCCATTTCAAAGAAAAACTTTTAAAAAAATGATTGGGGCTTATAGAATATAAATCAAAGAAAATATTTAATAGGGAAAACCAAAGACTTCAATTTGTGTGTTGCTAATGGGCCTGTTGCAAGAGCTATTTATTATTACTCTTTCAAAAATAGTTTATCCTGAAATTAGTGACTTCCACTGACTTAAGTAAAATAGGAGCTTTTGGCTTCCATGCCCTGTGTATTATAATCAAGGCCCTCAGACCTTTCAGGTGCCTTCATTATAACAATTCTCATCACTTTAGTAGGGTATGTTAGTTCTATTCACAGAAGTCCCATTCTGGTAAAGTTTATCTTTTTCTTCCATTGCTTGTGTTTTTGGTGTTGTATCTACAAAACCATTGCTGAATCAAGGTCACAAAAATTTACTGCTGTGTTTTCTTCTAAAGGTTTTGTAGTTTTAGCTCTTATATTTGTACACTTGATCCAATTTGAGTTTAGTTCTCTATGGTATGAGGTAAGGATCCAAGTTCTTCTTTTTTTATTTTTATGTGGCTATCCAGTTGTCCCAACACTATTGAAAAGATGGTTCTTTCTGCACTTAATTGTCTTGGCAATTGTTGAAAGCCAGTTGACCATAAATTGAGGGTTTATTTTGGAAATCTCAATTCTATTTCCATTAATCTATATGTCTGTCTTTATGCCAGTACCACATGGTCTTGATTACTGTAGCTTTGTTTTAAGTTTTGAGAAGTGTGATTCCTCCATCTTTGTTCTTATTTTTCAAGATTGCTTTTGGCTGTTTCAGGTTCCTTAACATTTCTATATGAACTTTGGATCAGTTTGCCAATTTTTTCCAAAAAATCCTGGTGAGATTTTGATAAGAATTGAATCTTTAGGCCAATGGTGGGGAGTAGTGTCATCTTAGCAATACCAAGTCTTCTGCTCCATGAACATGAGATGTATTTCCATTTATTTGGGTCTTCTTTAGTTTCTTTCAACAACATTTTGTAATTATTAGAGAATAAGTTTTGCGATCCTTTGTTTAATTTAAATTTATTTATTTATTTATTTATTTTTGAGACAGAGTCTCACTCTGTTGCCCAGGCTGGAGTGCAATGGCACCATCTCGGCTCACTGCAAGCTCCGCCTCCCGGGTTCACACCATTCTCCTGCCTCAGCCTCCTGAGTAGCTGGGACTACAGGCGCCTGCCACCACACCCGGCTAATTTTTTGTGTTTTTAGCAGAGATGGGGTTTCACCATGTTAGCCAGGATGGTCTCGATCTCCTGACCTCGTGATCCGCTCGCCTCAGCCTCCCAAAATGCTGGGATTATAGGCGTGAGCCACTGTGCCTGGCCTTAAATTTATTTTTTTTTAAAGAGCACTTTTAAAAACAGAATGTTTAGCTTTTCTCAGCATTTGTGCCTTTGGCAAACATGTCAGAGGCAGCTGACTTATATAATAGAACAGTCTCCCAACAATAAATTCTCATCAGGAGGCAGTCAGAATTAAAAGAGTGAGTTTTGATGCTATAATCCTGGATCTTCTACTTCCTAGCATTGGAAACTTGGGCAACCGAACTCTGTGCCATTTTATTATGTGAAATGGGTATTTTTTTATTAAATAGTTATGCCACAGAGATTTTTTGTGAAGATTAAATGTTTAGTATATATACAGTCCAAAAACCTGTAATTGGCACATGGTAAATAGTTAATAAACATGCATCGTTGTTATTGTTACAATGCCCTATCTTTTCCCAAAGCACTACTACAGATTCTATTTGAAATTGAGCCATTACCTTCTGGTATGTTGAGGCAGAAGAAAGGCAAAGAATAACTGCTGCAGCTCTTAGACTCTTTGTTTTCCTGTTATTGAGGAGCCTTTCTAAGAAAGCACCACGGTCATCCTTGCTTCATGGGAATCTGGGGTTTGTTTTGTTGGTGTTTTATAGCTGGCCAACTGGCTGGAAACTCCTCTGTTGAGATGTATCGCCAAGTGCTCCTGTCTGGTTGTCGCTGTGTGGAGCTGGACTGCTGGAAGGGACGGACTGCAGAAGAGGAACCTGTCATCACCCATGGCTTCACCATGACAACTGAAATATCTTTCAAGGTAGAGTATATGAATGTTACTAAGAGAGGCAGCTGGAGACACCTGATTCCTTTTGGTTAAAGCCTCCTAAGGTAGAAAGTCCCAGTGGTCACAATTAAGTCCAAAGGCTGTTAATCATCTTTGCAATTTCAGAGGCTAAAATTTGGCTGTTTATTCATGAATAATTGGCATCAGGTGAATTAATTCATGCTAACCAAATTCTAAGGAAACTGTCTCGTGAAAGGAAATATCAAGGTATTTGTCTTGTCCTCTTTAGCACTCTTACTCCTAATTTCTTGCATTTTATTTTTGTGAAATATCCATAAAGAATACAGACAACTTATTTCTATGCTTTAACTAATGGCTATAAAGTATGCATCCATGTAACTACCATCTAAATCGAGAAATAGAAACTTGGGGAGTACCTGAAACACTTCCATGTATCCATTCCCATCAGAATGTCCCGTTTACCCTCAGAGGTGACTACCATCCTGACTATTACAGTGGTCCCTACTTTGCGCTTCTTTAGAGCACAAAGTACAAATTTATATGCAGCCCTAAATGATGTAGCTTCACCAATTTTTTTCACTTGTAAATTGATTCACACTATAGTATACATTATTTTATGACTTGCTTTTTTCACTCCACATTGTTTAGAAGGTTCATTAATATTGTTTCAGATAACTCTAGATTTGTTGGCTTTCTTTATCATGATGATAGTATTAATTATTACTGTTAATTATTATGTAAGATTCCATTCTGTGATGCTATCTTTTGGAATGTTGACGTCTATCAGTCAAAGACCCCTAGGAACATACCTATGGTCAAGTTGGGTTTGTTTGCTCATACAACAAAGGAGAACACATGTTGTAGGGAGCTGGAGTGTCTCAGTAAAAGTTTATTAGAGAGGACTTACAGGACTTGGGCTTATAGTAGGTGATTTGGGGGACGGTTCAAAGGAGAAGGGTTTTGCAGTGGATTGGGTGCTGTCAGGAGGCACAAACAATCCTATGAGAGGGTATCTTAGTAAATCCTATCTAGGAAGCAGGACTAAAGCTGTTACTGATAAAGATGCATCAGCCATTCTTGTTAGTGAGAAATGAGGTGCATTTGGTCTCTCTCTTTTTCCACCCTTAGCTCTATTTTGCACCACAAGGGGCCACACATTCATGTGTATGGACACCCAAGCCCAAATATCTAAAGTCTGTCCACATGTCCTGCAAAGAGCCTTCCCCAGGGGGTAGGGGCCATTGGAGTAGGGGAAATCTGGGGTCCTAGGTACTTGGAGAGTGACTGGAGAAAGAAGTTGTGGGCTTCAGGGAACATGTTCTCTCCGCTGACTCCGGCTTTCTCACCCCTTTAAATGGGAATCAGAAGAGAAGGGCCAGAGGACAACCTCTCGCACTAGGTCCCAAGGCATAAGCCCTGTTGCCTGGGATACCTGGGTCTCAGGGAAGTGTCACTAACTCTTATCTGAAGCAACCAAGGAAACAGAGTCCAAGTAAGTAATTAAGGTGAGTGGAGACAAGGCCATTGAACATGGGAGATCAGAGTACTGAGAAGCAAGAATATGGGATGAATTCAATGTTAATATCACCAAGGTTAGTGACGAAGCTTTGGATGAAGAAACTGTGTGCCACTTGCCAACTCTTTTCTGAATAAGGGTGGCTCAGTAGATGGCAGAAGTGAAGAAGAGGTAAAAACTCTTTTGGCTGCCTCATGGGAACTAGGATTTTTTTTTAAAGAAGATTGAAAGGTAGTGTTTTAGAAGTAGCATTGAGAGCAAAAAGATCCCAAACCCCAGCTTCTTAATGTGAAACACTTGAGATGTGAGAAAATAAACAGTGATCACTGAAGAAAGCAGCTAACAAGAAGCAAGATTTTCAAGGGACAGCCAAGTTTCTGTTTAGACAAAAGGATTTTTCTGATTGAAGTTGCTGTATTAGACAATAATAAAAATGTTTTCAGCAGTAATATCATTCACACCTAAAAATATGTGTATTATGTTGTGCCTAAGGAATACGACTTTTCATTTATGCAACTTAGCCTACAATGCAATAATTAGAGAAAATAGCACCCTTCACTTAAATTTTACAACAAAGTTTAATACAGGGTTGACATTAATTCTGATCAAAATCTTTAAAAGCTGTGTCTGTTCCTGAAATTGAGCATGATTATGACCCTTGCATTTTCTTAAGTGGAAAATCAATGTTTAATTCATTTCCATAGTCCCACTTCTTCCCTCTCAGACCTTGCTATGGTCCTTTGTCAACTACCTAAGATGCAGTCTAACAGTTGGGCTCTTTAAGAAAAAGTGGAGACAGGTTACCCCCATGTGGAACCAGTGCAGCTTGGGCTCATCTGTCTGTTGATGGATGATGATGCTCCTGGAATGGCAGACAGCACGCCCTGATGGAGCTGAGAGCTGGTGGCACCGCACACTGCCCATCCGCCAGGAAGACCTGCCCCACTCCCTCCCCAGGCCACTGCCCTGTCTACCCTCCAGAGACATTGTGAGAAGCAATTGTTATTTTCTTAATAATTTAAAATCCTCCAAGTTCTCTGAGTTCCTTGTGGGAGAATAAACACCAAGCACATCCTAAGGCATATTTATTTTATGTGGAGCATTTGCTTCTTGGCCTCTGCCTGCCATTGAGTCAACTTGGAGTGACTCTCCTTGTGCACTCGATCATAGAAGTGGTTCTTCAATTACATCTGTAATCCCAGAGTCACGGGCTGATTGAACATCTCTTTCTGGGCTCTGGAAGCATGGCTTCTCAACCACGTCCATACACTTGCCAGTGGGTGAGAGGCTTAAAGACTAAAATCTAACCCAGAATGCTGCTTTCTCTCTCTGCCTGCTGGAGTTGGGAGTGGGGAGGTGACCAGGATGGCTAAAGACAGGAGTGAATTCATCATCCCAGTTGGTTTTTCCAGCTATTCCTCCTGCTAATGCACATAGCAGGATAGACAGTTCTGGCTGAGATGTGGGGAGGTGACCAGGTTGGCTAAAGACAGGAGTGAATTCATCATCCCAGTTGGTTTTTCCAGCTATTCCTCCTGCTAATGCACATAGCAGGATAGACAGTTCTGGCTGAGATGTGGGTAGGTGACAGTGGGTGAGGATGGATGTGGGGAGTGGAAATGCCAACCTATTTTGCAGACTGATATGCAGTAGCAAGGATGCTTTGCATCAGGACTGAGACTAGGAAAGACAAGTAAGTCTCCTAGCAAGTAAAATTTAAGGACGTCTTTGCTCTCAGGGCTGTGTAAGCACAGAGCTGGCACTAGAGAGTGAGTGTCTCTTTAAATTTTGCACATAGTCGCCTCTCTTGCCTCATCCTAGTCCCAACACTGCTTGCATGATTATCAGCATGCAGTCTGCTTTCCCTGAACCCAGCGTGTAAAGTGACTTTGTAATAAGAAAGAGTAAGAAGAGAAACAGGGCACAAGGCCCTACATAATCTGCAATCCCATTACCTTGTTTCTTACTGCTTTCCCCCTCATCCACTGGGCTCCAACAGTACTGACCTTGCTGTTCATGGGCTGTGCCAGGCTGGCCCCGCCTCACAGCCTTTGCACAGGCTCTTCCCTCTGCCTGGAATGGTATTCTCATAGGTATCTGCCTGGTTCTTCCCTTGCCTCCTTGAAGCCTTCCTCAAATGTCACCTTCTCAGTGAGGCCTCCTGGGACCCATCTATTTAATACTGTCACCAGCCACCACTCCCAATCCCCACACTACTGACGTAACCCCTGACACCCCCACTTTTTAGTAATGTATTTTCCTAAGGCACTTATCATATCACCTTCCAACAATCTGCCTAATTTGCTTAATTCCTATGTTCCTTGTTTATTGTCCCTTCTACTAACGCATAAGCTCCACAAAGACAGGGCTCTTTGTTCTGTTCCCTGATCTGTCCCAAGTTCTCTTCTTTGAGCAGAACCTGACATATAGTAGATGCTCAATAAATGTTTTTGAATGAATTTTCCCTTCCCAGAGCAAGTAGATCAAATACAGCATAACCTCCATTTTCAGTCTTTCTTGCCTCTGCTCATCAGATAAGTGAATTTGTCTTTCTCCATCCTACACATAATATGTTGGTAGAGGCAGGGAAAACATTCCCCCAACATTTGCCAGTTTTAGCTGCCCTGAACATTTGGGCCAGATATTCACAGTATAATTAGACTATATTCTATAGCTACACTGCATAGTGCAGCAGCAAAATAAACTGATTGCAGAGTTCATTTTTATGTCACCCAGTGTATCTGCTTTCAGTATGTGTGACCTGGAAAGCTTCTGTGTGATAGATCCCAAAAGCAAGAGATCCTATTGGCATTTGCTCCCTGTTTACTGTATGGGTCAAAATAAAAAGTTACGTTCTGGGAAAGGAGACATTCAGCTCCTTTATGAAGGGCTTTTTGTTTTGTAGTCTGGCTTTATTATTTATCCCATATATCTGTTTCAATGCCTCATCACCTTAGCCTTCCTGGTGGCCATGACATAGCAATTCACCACTTAGTTTTTTCATTCTCTCTTCTCCCACCCAATATCCTTTCTCCTTACGCTTGACACCACCTACCCACCTCCTTCCCAGGGTGGTTTTTCTCCCTTTAGGCAGCTTCCTTTTAACCAGCAATTATATAAGATGGAAAACTGGATAATGTAATAAAATATATGAGGAAAACATATTAAATTAGAGTAGGTTAAATCCAGCATTTCTGAAAATAAAGTGTCATTCATTCCCTGAGAAAAACAATAATTTAGGATGCAGTTTCACTGCTACCTAAATGCACATATAAAATGGATATCCAAATACACCCTACTGTTGTCTGTCGAGGATAAAGGATTTCAAGGCCAGTTTGTCTCACTGGAGTTTAGTAATTGAACCATATGGCTTATAGATTATTGAATCTAGTGTTACAAGTCTCTGAAAAA